>NC_000010.11:39635057-39636682 GCF_000001405.40 Homo sapiens | reverse complement strand
AAGTAATCACTTGCAGACTTCACAGACAGAGTCTTTCCAAACTGCTCTATGAAAAGAAAGGTGGAACTCTGTGAGCTGAACGCACACATAACAAAGCAGTTTCTGAGAATGATTCTGTGTAGTTTTTACACGAAGATATTTCCATTTCAAAGATTAGCCTCAAATCGCTTGAACTCTCCACTTGCAAATTCCACAGAAAGAGTTTTTCAAAACTGCTCTGTCTAAAGGAAGGTTCAACTCTGTGACTTGTATACACACAACACAAAGAAGTGACTGAGAATGCTTCTGTCTAGCATTATATGAAGAAATCCCGTTTCCAACGAAGGCCTCAAAGAAGTCCAAATAAGCACCTGCAGACTTTACAAACAGAGTATTTCCAAACTGCTCTATGAAACGAAAGTTTAAACTCTGTGAGTTGAATGCACACATCACAAAGTAGTTGTTGAGAATGATGCTGTGTAGTTTTCATACGAAGATATTTCCTTTTCTGCCATAGGCCTAGAAGCGCTTGAAATCTGCACTTGCAAATTCCAAAAACAGAGTGTTTCAAATCTGCTCTCTCTAAAGGAAGGTTCAAATCTGTGAGTTGAATACAAACAACACAAAGAAGTTACTGAGAATTCTTCTGTCTAGCATTATATGAGGAAATCCCGTTTCCAATGAAGGGTTCAAAGAGGGCCAATTATCCACCTGCAGACTTACAAAGAGTGTATTTCCAAACTGCTCGATTAAAGAAACGTTAAACTCTGTGAGTTGAACACACACATCACAGAGTGTTTTCTGAGAATGATTTTGTCGAGTTTTAATACGAAGATATACCCTTTTCTATCACTGTCTTCGAAGCGTTTGAAATCTGCACTAGGAAATTCCACAAAAAGAGTGTTTCAACTCTGCTCTCTCTCAAGAAAGGTTCAACTCTGTGAGTGGAATACACACAACACAAAGAAGTTACTGAGAATTCTTCTGTCTAGCGTTATATGAAGAAATCCCGTTTCCAACGAAGGCCTCAAAGAGGTCCAAATATCCACTTGCAGACTTTACAAATAGAGTGTTTCCAAACTGCTCTATGAAAAGAAAGGTTAAACTCTGTGAGATGAAGGCACACATCACAATCTAGTTTCTACGAATGACTCTGTGTACTTTTAATATGAAGATATTTCCACGTCTACGATTGGCGTCAAATCGCTTGAAATCTCCACTTGCAAATTCCACAAAAATTGTTTTTCAAAACTTCTCTGAATAAAGGAAGGTTCAACTCTGTGAGTTGAATACACACAACACAAAGGATTTACTGAGAATTCTTTTGTCTAGCAGTAAATGAGAAATCCCGCTTCCTACGAAGGCCTCAAGGGGGTCTAACTAATCACTTGCAGACGTTACAGACAGAGTCTTTCCAAACTGCTCTATGAAGAGAAAGGTGAAACTCTGTGAACTGAACGCACAGATAACAAAGCAGTTTCTGAGAATGATTCTGTGTAGTTTTTACACGAAGATATTTCCATTTCAAAGATTAGCCTCAAATCGCCTGAAATCTCCACTTGCAAATTCCACAAAAAGAGTGTTTCAAAACTGCTCTGAATAAAGGAAGGTTCAACTCTGTGAGTTGAATACACACAACACAAAGG
>NC_000010.11:39625274-39635037 GCF_000001405.40 Homo sapiens | reverse complement strand
ATCACTTGCAGACTTCACAGACAGAGTCTTTCCAAACTGCTCTATGAAAAGAAAGGTGGAACTCTGTGAGCTGAACGCACACATAACAAAGCAGTTTCTGAGAATGATTCTGTGTAGTTTTTACATGAAGATATTTCCATTTCAAAGATTAGCCTCAAATCGCTTGAAATCTCCACTTGCAAATTCCACAGAAAGAGTTTTTCAAAACTGCTCTGTCTAAAGGAAGGTTCAACTCTGTGACTTGAATACACACAACACAAAGAAGTGACTGAGAATGCTACTGTCTAGCATTATATGAAGAAATCCCGTTTCCAACGAAGGCCTCAAAGAAGTCCAAATAAGCACCTGCAGATTTTACAAACAGAGTGTTTCCAAACTGCTCTATGAAACGAAAGGTTAAACTCTGTGAGTTGAACGCACACATCACAAAGTAGTTGTTGAGAATGATTCTGTGTAGTTTTCATACGAAGATATTTCCTTTTCTGCCATACGCCTAGAAGCGCTTGAAATCTGCACTTGCAAATTCCAAAAACAGAGTGTTTCAAATCTGCTCTCTCTAAAGGAAAGTTCAAATCTGTGAGTTGAATACAAACAACACAAAGAAGTTACTGAGAATTCTTCTGTCTAGCATTATATGAGGAAATCCCGTTTCCAATGAAGGGCTCAAAGAGGGCCAATTATCCACCTGCAGACTTACAAAGAGTGGATTTCCAAACTGCTCGATTAAAGAAAGGTTAAACTCTGTGAGTTGAACACACACATCACAAAGTGTTTTCTGAGAATGATTTTGTCTAGTTTTAATACGAAGATATATCCTTTTCTATCACTGTCTTCGAAGCGTTTGAAATCTGTACTAGCAAATTCCACAAAAAGAGTGTTTCAACTCTGCTCTCTCTCAAGAAAGGTTCAACTCTGTGAGTTGAATACACACAACACAAAGAAGTTACTGAGAATTCTTCTGTCTAGCGTTATATGAAGAAATCCCGTTTTCGAAGAAGGCCTCAAAGAGGTCCAAATATCCACTTGCAGACTTTACAAACAGAGTGTTTCCAAACTGCTCTATGAAAAGAAAGGTTAAACTCTGTGAGATGAAGGCACACATCACAAACTAGTTTCTACGAATGACTCTGTGTACTTTTAATATGAAGAAATTTCCATGTCTAAGATTGGTGTCAAATCGCTTGAAATCTCCACTTGCAAATTCCACAAAAAGTGTTTTTCAAAACTTCTCTGAATAAAGGAAGGTTCAACTCTGTGAGTTGAATACACACAACACAAAGGATTTAATGAGAATTCTTCTGTCTAGAAGTAAATGAGAAAATCCCGCTTCCAACGAAGTCCTCAAAGGGGTCCAAGTAATCACATGCAGACTTTACAGACAGAGTCTTTCCAAACTGCTCTATGAAAAGAAAGGTGGAACTCTGTGAGCTGAACGCACACATAAGAAAGCAGTTTCTGTGAATGATTCTGTGTAGTTTTTACACGAAGATATTTCCATTTCAAAGATTAGCCTCAAATCGCTAGAATTCTCCACTTGCAAATTCCACAGAAAGAGATTTTCAAAACTGCTCTGTCTAAAAGAAGGTTTAACTCTGTGACTTGAATACACACAAGACAAAAAAGTGACTGAGAATTCTACTGTCTAGCATTATATGAAGAAATCCCGTTTCCAACGAAGGCCTCAAAGAAGTCCAAATAAGCACCTGCAGACTTTCCAAACAGAGTGTTTCCAAACTGCTCTATGAAAAGAAAGGTTAAACTCTGTGAGTTGAACGCACACATCACAAAGTAGTTGTTGAGAATGATTCTGTGTAGTTTTTATACGAAGGTATTTCCTTTTCTGCCATAGGCCTAGAAGCGCTTGAAATCTGCACTTGCAAATTCCAAAAACAGAGTGTTTCAAATCTGCTCTCTCTAAAGGAAGGTTCAAATCTGTGAGTTGAATACAAACAACACAAAGAAGTTACTGAGAATTCTTCTGTCTAGCATTATATGAGGAAATCCCGTTTCCAACGAAGGGCTCAAAGAGGGCCAATTATGCACCTGCAGACTTACAAAGAGTGTATTTCCAAACTGCTTGATTAAAGAAAGGTTAAACTCTGTGAGTTGAACACACACATCACAAAGTGTATTCTGAGAATGATTTCGATTAGTTTTAATACGAAGATATATCCTTTTCTATCACTGTCTTCGAAGCGTTTGAAATCTGCACTAGCAAATTCCACAAAAAGAGTGTTTCAACTCTGCTCTCTCTCAAGAAAGATTCAACTCTGTGAGTTGAATACACACAACAAAAAGAAGTTACTGAGAATTCTTCTGTCTAGCGTTATATGAAGAAATCCCGTTTCCAACGAAGGCCTCAAAGAGGTCCAAATATCCACTTGCAGACTTTACAAATAGAGTGTTTCCAAACTGCTCTATGAAAAGAAAGGTTAAACTCTGTGAGTTGAAGGCACACATCACAAACTAGTTTCTGCGAATGACTCTGTGTACTTTTAATATGAAGATATTTCCCAGTCTAAGATTGGCGTCAAATCGCTTGAAATCTCCACTTGCAAATTCCACAAAAAGTGTTTTTCAAAACTTCTCTGAATAAAGGAAGTTTAAACTCTGTGAGTTGAATACAAACAACACAAAGGATTTACTGAGTATTCTTCTGTCTAGCAGTAAATGAGAAGTCCCGCTTCCTACGAAGGCCTCAAAGGTATCTAACTAATCACTTGCAGACTTTACAGACAGAGTCTTTCCAAACTGCTCTATGAAGAGAAAGGTGAAACTCTGTGAACTGAACGCACAGATAACAAAGCAGTTTCTGAGAATGATTCTGTGTAGTTTTTACACGAAGATATTTCCATTTCAAAGATTAGCCTCAAATCGCTTGAAATCTCCACTTGCAAATTCCACAGAAAGAGTGTTTCAAAACTGCTCTGAATAAAGGAAGGTTCAACTCTGTGAGTTGAATACACACAAAACAAAGGATTTAATGAGAATTCTTCTGTCTAGCAGTAAATGAAAAAATCCCGCTTCCAACGAAGTCCTCAAAGGTGTCCAAGTAATCACTTGCAGACTTCACAGACAGAGTCTTTCCAAACTGCTCTATGAAAAGAAAGGTGGAACTCTGTGAGCTGAACGCACACATAACAAAGCAGTTTCTGAGAATGATTCTGTGTAGTTTTTAGACGAAGATACTTCCATTTCAAAGATTAGCCTCAAATCGCTTGAAATCTCCACTTGCAGATTCCACAGAAAGAGTTTTTCAAAACTGCTCTGTCTAAAGGAAGGTTCAACTCTGTGACTTGAATACACACAACACAAAGAAGTGACTAGCATTATATGAAGAAATCCCGTTTCCAAAGAAGGCCTCAAAGAAGTCCAAATAAGCACCTGCAGACTTTACAAACAGAGTGTTTCCAAACTGCTCTATGAAAAGAAAGTTTAAACTCTGTGAGTTGAACGCACACATCACAAAGTAGTTGTTGAGAATGATTCTGTGTAGTTTTTATACGAAGATATTTCCTTTTCTGCCATAGGCCTAGAAGAGCTTGAAGTCTGCACTTGCAAATTCCAAAAACAGAGTGTTTCAAATCTGCTCTCTCTAAAGGAAGGTTCAAATCTGTGAGTTGAATACAAACAACACAAAGAAATTACTGAGAATTCTTCTGTCTAGCAGTATATGAGGAAATCCCGTTTCCAATGAAGGGCTCAGAGAGGGCCAATTATCCACCTGCAGACTTACAAAGAGTGTATTTCCAAACTGCTCGATTAAAGAAAGGTTAAACTCTGTGAGTTGAACACACACATCACAAAGTGTTTTCTGAGAATGATTTTGTCTAGTTTTAATACGAAGATATATCCTTTTCTATCACTGTCTTCGAAGCGTTTGGAATCTGCACTAGCAAATTCCACAAAAAGAGTGTTTCAACTCTGCTCTCTCCCAAGAAAGGTTCAACTCTGTGAGTTGAATACACACAACACAAAGAAGTTACAGAGAATTCTTCTGTCTAGCGTTATATGAAGAAATCCCGTTTCCAACGAAGGCCTCAAAGTGGTCCAAATATCCACTTGCAGACTTTACAAATAGAGTGTTTCCAAACTGCTCTATGAAAAGAAAGGTTAAACTCTGTGAGTTGAAGGCACACATCACAATCTAGTTTCTACAAATGACTCTGTGTACTTTTAATATGAAGATATTTCCACGTCTAAGATTGGCGTCAAATCGCTTGAAATCTCCACTTGCAAATTCCACAAAAAGTGTTTTTCAAAACTTCTCTGAATAAAGGAAGGTTCAACTCTGTGAGTTGAATACACACAACACAAAGGATTTACTGAGAATTCTTCTGTCTAGCAGTAAATGAGAAATCCCGCTTCCTACGAAGGCCTCAAAGGGGTCTAACTAATCACTTGCAGACTTTACAGACAGAGTCTTTCCAAACTGCTCTATGAAAAGAAAGGTGGAACTCTGTGAGCTGAAGGCACACATAAGAAAGCAGTTTCTGAGAATGATTCTGTGTAGTTTTTACACGAAGATATTTCCATTTCAAAGATTAGCCTCAAATCGCTTGAAATCTCCACTTGCAAATTCCACAGAAAGAGTGTTTCAAAACTGCTCTGAATAAAGGAAGGTTCAACTCTGTGAGTTGAATACACACAACACAAAGGATTTAATGAGAATTCTTCTGTCTAGCAGTAAATGAAAAAATCCCGCTTTCAACGAAGTCCTCAAAGGGGTCCAAGTAATCACTTGCAGACTTTACAGACAGAGTCTTTCCAAACTGCTCTATGAAAAGAAAGGTGGAACTCTGTGAGCTGAACGCACACATAACAAAGCAGTTTCTGAGAATGATTCTGTGTAGATTTTACACGAAGATATTTCCATTTCAAAGATTAGCCTCAAATCGCTTGAAATCTCCACTTGCAAATTCCACAGAAAGAGTTTTTCAAAACTGCTCTGTCTAAAAGAAGGTTCAACTCTGTGACTTGAATACACACCACATAAAAAAGTGACTGAGAATTCTACTGTCTAGCATTATATGAAGAAATCCCGTTTCCAACGAAGGCCTCAAAGAAGTCCAAATAAGCACCTGCAGATTTTACAAACAGAGTGTTTCCAAACTGCTCTATGAAAAGAAAGGTTAAACTCTGTGAGTTGAACGCACACATCACAAAGCAGTTGTTGAGAATGATTCTGTGTAGCTTTTATACGAAGATATTTCCTTTTCTGCCATAGGCCTAGAAGCGCTTGAAATCTGCACTTGCAAATTCCAACAACAGAGTGTTTCAAATCTGCTTTCTCTAAAGGAAGGTTCAAATCTGTAAGTTGAATACAAACAAAACAAAGTAGTTACTGAGAATTCTTCTGTCTAGCATTATATGAGGAAATCCCGTTTCCAACAAAGGGCTCAGAGAGGGCCAATTATCCACCTGCAGACTTACAAAGAGTGTATTTCCAAACTGCTCGATTAAAGAAAGGTTAAACTCTGTGAGTTGAACACACACATCACAAAGTGTTTTCTGAGAATGATTTTTTCTAGTTTTAATACGAAGATATATCCTTTTCTATCACTATCTTCGAAGCGTTTGAAATCTGCACTAGCAAATTCCACAAAAAGAGTGTTTCAACTCTGCTCTCTCTCAAGAAAGATTCAACTCTGTGAGTTGAATACACACAACAAAAAGAAGTTACTGAGAATTCTTCTGTCTAGCGTTATATGAAGAAATCCCGTTTCCAACGAAGGCCTCAAAGAGGTCCAAATATCCACTTGCAGACTTTCCAAATAGAGTGTTTCCAAACTGCTCTATGAAAAGAAAGGTTAAACTCTGTGAGTTGAAGGCACACATCACAAACTAGTTTCTGCGAATGACTCTGTGTACTTTTAATATGAAGATATTTCCAAGTCTAAGATTGGCGTCAAATCGCTTGAAATCTCCACTTGCAAATTCCACAAAAAGTGTTTTTCAAAACTTCTCTGAATAAAGGAAGGTTCAACTCTGTGAGTTGAATACACACAACACAAAGGATTTACTGAGAATTCTTCTGTCTAGCAGTAAATGAGTAATCCCGCTTCCTACGAAGGCCTCAAATGTGTCCAACTAATCACTTGCAGACTTTACAGACAGAGTCTTTCCAAACTGCTCTATGAAGAGAAAGGTGAAACTCTGTGAACTGAACGCACAGATAACAAAGCAGTTTCTGAGAATGATTCTGTGTAGTTTTTACACGAAGATATTTCCATTTCAAAGATTAGCCTCAAATCTCTTGAAATCTCCACTTGCAAATTCCACAGAAAGAGTGTTTCAAAACTGCTCTGAATAAAGGAAGGTTCAACTCTGTGAGTTGAATACACACAACACAAAGGATTTAATGAGAATTCTTCTGTCTAGCAGTAAATGAAAAAATCCCGCTTCCAACGAAGTCCTCAAAGGGGTCCAAGTAATCACTTGCAGACTTCACAGAGTCTTTCCAAACTGCTCTATGAAAAGGAAGGTGGAACTCTGTGAGCTGAACGCACACATAACAAAGCAGTTTCTGACAATGATTCTGTGTAGTTTTTACACGAAGATATTTCCATTTCAAAGATTAGCCTCAAATCGCTTGAAATCTCCACTTGCAAATTCCACAGAAAGAGTTTTTCAAAACTGCTCTGTCTAAAGGAAGGTTCAACTCTGTGACTTGAATACACACAACACAAAGAAGTGACTGAGAATGCTTCTGTCTAGCATTATATGAAGAAATCCGGTTTCCAAGGAAGGCCTCAAAGAAGTCCAAATAAGCACCTGCAGACTTTACAAACAGAGTGTTTCCAAACTGCTCTATGAAAAGAAAGGTTAAACTCTGTGAGTTGAACGCACACATCACAAAGTAGTTGTTGAGAATGATTCTGTGTAGCTTTTATACGAAGATATTTCCTTTTCTGCCATAGGCCTAGAAGCGCTTGAAATCTGCACTTGCAAATTCCAAAAACAGAGTGTTTGCAATCTGCTCTCTCTAAAGGAAGGTTCAAATCTGTGAGTTGAATACAAACAACACAAAGAAGTTACTGAGAATTCTTCTGTCTAGCATTATATGAGGAAATCCCATTTCCAATGAAGGGCTCAAAGAGGGCCAATTATCCACCAGCAGACTTACAAAGAGTGTATTTCCAAACTGCTCGACTAAGAAAGGTTAAACTCTGTGAGTTGAACACACACATCACAAAGTGTTTTCTGCGAATGATTTTGTCTAGTTTTAATACGAAGATATATCCTTTTCTATCACTGTCTTCGAAGCGTTTGAAATCTGCACTAGCAAATTCCACAAAAAGAGTGTTTCAACTCTGCTCTCTCTAAAGAAAGGTTCAACTCTGTGAGTTGAATACAGACAACACAAAGTAGTTACTGAGAATTCTTCTGTTTAGCGTTATATGAAGAAATCCCGTTTCCAACGAAGGCCTCAAAGAGGTCCAAATATCTACTTGCAGACTTTACAAATAGAGTGTTTCCAAACTGCTCTATGAAAAGAAAGGTTAAACTCTGTGAGTTGAAGGCACACATCACAAACTAGTTTCTACGAATGACTCTGTGTACTTTTAATATGAAGATATTTCCACGTCTAAGATTGGCATCAAATCGCTTGAAATCTCCACTTGCAAATTCCACAAAAAGTGTTTTTCAAAACTTCTCTGAATAAAGGAAGGTTCAACTCTATGAGTTGAATACACACAACACAAGGGATTTACTGAGAATTCTTCTGTCTAGCAGTAAATGAGAAATCCCACTTCCTACGAAGGCCTCAAAGGGGTCTAACTAATCACTTGTAGACTTTACAGACAGAGTCTTTCCAAACTGCTCTATGAAGAGAAAGGTGAAACTCTGTGAACTGAACGCACAGATAACAAAGCAGTTTCTGAGAATGATTCTGTGTAGTTTTTACACGAAGATATTTCCATTTCAAAGATTAGCCTCAAATCGCTTGAAATCTCCACTTGCAAATTCCACAGAAAGAGTGTTTCAAAACTGCTCTGAATAAAGGAAGGTTCAACTCTGTGAGTTGAATACACACAACACAAAGGATTTAAAGAGAATTCTTCTGTCTAGCAGTAAATGAAAAAATCCCGCTTTCAACGAAGTCCTCAAAGGGGTCCAAGTAATCACTTGTAGACTTTACAGACAGAGTCTTTCCAAACTGCTCTATGAAAAGAAAGGTGGAACTCTGTGAGCTGAACGCACACATAACAAAGCAGTTTCTGAGAATGATTCTGTGTAGCTTTTACACGAAGATATTTCCATTTGAAAGATTAGCCTCAAATCGCTTGAAATCTCCACTTGCAAATTCCACAGAAAGAGTTTTTCAAAACTGCTCTGTCTAAAAGAAGGTTCAACTCTGTGACTTGAATACACACAACACAAAAAAGTAACTGAGAATTCTACTGTCTAGCATTATATGAAGAAATCCCATTTCCAACGAAAGCCTCAAAGAAGTCCAAATAAGCACCTGCAGACTTTACAAACAGAGTGTTTCCAAACTGCTCTATGAAAAGAAAGGTTAAACTCTGTGAGTTGAACGCACACATCACAAAGTACTTGTTGAGAATGATTCTGTGTAGTTTTTATACGAAGATATTTCCTTTTCTGCCATAGGCCTAGAAGCGCTTGAAATCTGCACTTGCAAATTCCAACAACAGAGTGTTTCAAATCTGCTCTCTCTAAAGGAAGGTTCAAATCTGTGAGTTGAATACAAACAACACAAAGAAGTTACTGAGAATTCTTCTGTCTAGCATTATATGAGGAAATCCCGTTTCCAACGAAGGGCTCAAAGAGGCCAATTATCCACCTGCAGACTTACAAAGAGTGTATTTCCAAACTGCTCGATTAAAGAAAGTTTAAACTCTGTGAGTTGAACACACACATCACAAAGTGTATTCTGAGAATGATTTCGTCTAGTTTTAGTACGAAGGTATAACCTTTTCTATCACTGTCTTTGAAGCGATTGAAATCTGCACTAGGAAATTCCACAAAAAGAGTGTTTCAACTCTGCTCTCTCTCAAGAAAGGTTCAACTCTGTGAGTTAAATACACACAACACAAAGAAGTTACTGAGAATTCTTCTGTCTAGCGTTATATGAAGAAATCCCGTTTCCAACGAAGGCCTCAAAGAGGTCCAAATATCCACTTGCAGACTTTACATATAGAGTGTTTCCAAACTGCTCTATGAAAAGAAAGGTTAAACTCTGTGAGATGAAGGCACACATCACAAACTAGTTTCTACGAATGACTCTGTGTACTTTTAATATGAATATATTTCCACGTCTAAGATTGGCGTCAAATCTCTTGAAATCTCCACTTGCAAATTCCACAAAAAGTGTTTTTCAAAACTTCTCTGAATAAAGGAAGGTTCAACTCTGTGAGTTGAATACACACAACACAAAGGATTTACTGAGAATTCTTCTGTCTAGCAGTAAATGAGAAATCCCGCTTCCAATGAAGGCCTCAAAGGGGTCTAACTAATCACTTGCAGACTTTACAGACAGAGTGTTTCCAAACTGCTCTATGAAGAGAAAGGTGAAACTCTGTGAACTGAACGCACAGATAACAAAGCAGTTTCTGAGAATGATTCTGTGTAGTTTTTACACGAAGATATTTCCATTTCAAAGATTTGCCTCAAATCGCCTGAAATATCCACTTGCAAATTCCACAGAAAGAGTGTTTCAAAACTGCTCTGAATAAAGGAAGGTTCAACTCTGTAAGTTGAATACACACAACACAAAGGATTTAATGAGAATTCTTCT
>NC_000010.11:39617255-39622353 GCF_000001405.40 Homo sapiens | reverse complement strand
TTCCAAACTGCTCTATGAAAGAAAAGGTGGACTCTGTGAAGCTGAACGCACACAGAACAAAGCAGTTTCTGAGAATGATTCTGTGTAGTTTTTACACGAAGATATTTCCATTTCAAAGATTTGCCTCAAATCGCTTGAATCTCCCACTTGCAAATTCCACAGAAATTGTTTTTCAAAACTGCTCTGTCTAAAGGAAGGTTCAACTCTGTGATTTGAATACACACAACACAAAGAAGTGACAGAGAATGCTTCTGTGTAGCATTATGTGAAGAAATCCCATTTCCAACGAAGGCCTCAAAGAAGTCCAAATAAGCAACTGCAGACTTTACAAACAGAGTGTTTCCAAACTGCTCTATGAAAAGGAAGGTTAAACTCTGTGAGTTGAACGCACACATCACAAAGTAGTTGTTGAGAATGATTCTGTGTAGTTTTTATAATACGAAGATATTTCCTTTTCTGCCATAGGCCTAGAAGCGCTTGAAATCTGCACTTGCAAATTCCAAAAGCAGAGTGTTTCAAATCTGCTCTCTCTAAAGGAAGGTTCAAATCTGTGAGTTGAATACAAACAACACAAAGAAGTTACTGAGAATTATTCTGTCTAGCATTATATGAGGAAATCCCGTTTCCAATGAAGGGCTCAAAGAGGGCCAATTATCCACCTGCAGACTTACAAAGAGTGTATTTCCAAACTGCTCGATTAAAGAAAGGTTAAACTCTGTGAGTTGAACTCACACATCACAAAGTGTATTCTGAGAATGATTTCGTCTAGTTTTAATACGAAGATATATCCTTTTCTATCACTGTCTTCGAAGCGTTTGAATTCTGCACTAGCAAATTCCACAAAAAGAGTGTTTCAACTCTGCTCTCTCTCAAGAAAGGTTCAACTCTGTGAGTTGAATACACACAACACAAAGAAGTTACTGAGAATTCTTCTGTCTAGCGTTATATGAAGAAATCCCATTTCCAACGAAGGCCTCAAACAGGTCCAAATATCCACTTGCAGACTTTACAAATAGAGTGTTTCCAAACTGCTCTATGAAAAGAAAGGTTAAACTCTGTGAGTTGAAGGCACACATCACAAACTAGTTTCTACGAATGACTCTGTGTACTTTTAATATGAAGATATTTCCACGTCTAAGATTGGCGTCAAATCGCTTGAAATCTCCACTTGCAAATTCCACAAAAAGTGTTTTTCAAAACTTCTCTGAATAAAGGAAGGTTCAACTCTGTGAGTTGAATTCACACAAGACAAAGGATTTACTGAGAATTCTTCTGTCTAGCAGTAAATGAGAAATCCCGCTTCCTACGAAGGCCTCAAAGGGGTCTAACTAATCACTTGCAGACTTTACAGACAGAGTCTTTCCAAACTGCTCTATGAAGAGAAAGGTGAAACTCTGTGAACTGAACGCAAAGATAACAAAGCAGTTTCTGAGAATGATTCTGTGTAGTTTTTACACGAAGATATTTCCATTTCAAAGATTAGCCTCAAATCGCCTGAAATCTCCACTTGCAAATTCCACAGAAAGAGTGTTTCAAAACTGCTCTGAATAAAGGAAGGTTCAACTCTGTGAGTTGAATACACACAACACCAAAGGATTTAATGAGAATTCTTCTGTCTAGCAGTAAATGAAAAAATCCCGCTTCCAACGAAGGCCTCAAAGGGGTCGAAGTAATCACTTGCAGACTTTACATACAGAGTCTTTCCAAACTGCTCTATGAAAGAAAGGTGGAACTCTGTGAGCTGAACGCACACATAACAAAGCAGTTTCTGACAATGATTCTGTGTAGTATTTATACGAAGATATTTCCTTTTTTGCCATAGGCGTAGAAGCGCTTGAAATCTGCACTTGCAAAGGCCAAAAACAGAGTGTTTCAAATCTGCTCTCTCTAAAGGAAGTTTAAAATCTGTGAGTTGAATACAAACAACACAAAGAAGTTACTGAGAATTCTTCTATCTAGCATTTTATGAGGAAATCCCGTTTCCAACGAAGGGCTTAAAGAGGGCCAATTATGAACCTGCAGACTTACAAAGAGTGTATTTCCAAACTGCTCGATTAAAGAAAGGTTAAACTCTGTGAGTTGAACACACACATCACAAAGTGTTTTCTGAGAATGATTTTGTCTAGTTTTAGTACGAAGATATATCCTTTTCTATCACAGACTTCGAAGCGTTTGAAATCTGCACTAGCAAATTCCACAAAAAGAGTGTTTCAACTCTGCTCTCTCTCAAGAAAGGTTCAACTCTGTGAGTTGAATACACACAACACAAAGAAGTTACTGAGAATTCTTCTGTCTAGCGTTATATGAAGAAATCCCATTTCCAACGAAGGCCTCAAAGAGGTCCAAATATCCACTTGCAGACTTTACAAATAGAGTGTTTCCAAACTGCTCTATGAAAAGAAAGGTTAAACTCTGTGAGTTGAAGGCACACATCACAAACTAGTTTCTACGAATGACTCTGTGTACTTTTAATATGAAGATATTTCCACGTCTAAGATTGGTGTCAAATCGCTTGAAATCTCCACTTGCAAATTCCACAAAAAGTGTTTTTCAAAACTTCTCTGAATAAAGGAAGGTTCAACTCTGTGAGTTGAATACACACAACACAAAGGATTTAATGAGAATTCTTCTGTCTAGCAGTAAATGAAAAAATCCCGCTTCCAAAGAAGTCCTCAAAGGGGTCCAAGTAATCACTTGCAGACTTTACAGACAGAGTCTTTCCAACCTGCTCTATGAAAAGAAAGGTGGAACTCTGTGAGCTGAACGCACACATAACAAAGCAGTTTCTGAGAATGATTCTGTGTAGTTTTTACACGAAGATATTTCCATTTCAAAGATTAGCCTCAAATCGCTTGAAATCTCCACTTGCAAATTCCACAGAAAGAGTTTTCCACAACTGCTCTGTCTAAAGGACGGTTCAACTTTGTGACTTGAATACACACAACACAAAGAGGTGACTGAGAATTCTTCTGTCTAGCATTATATGAAGAAATCCCGTTTCCAACGAAGGCCTCAAAGAAGTCCAAATAAGCACCTGCAGACTTTACAAACAGAGTGTTTCGAAACTGCTCTATGAAAAGAAAGGTTAAACTCTGTGAGTTGAACGCACACATCACAAAGTAGTTGTTGAGAATGATTCTGTGTAGTTTTTATACGAAGATATTTCCTTTTCTGCCATAGGCCTAGAAGCGCTTGAAATCTGCACTTGCAAATTCCAAAAACAGAGTGTTTCAAAACTGCTCTCTCTAAAGGAAGGTTCAAATCTGTGAGTTGAATACAAACAATACAAAGAAGTTACTGAGAATTCTTCTATCTAGCATTATATGGGAAATCCCGTTTCCAACGAAGGGCTCAAAGAAGGCCAATTATCCACCTGCAGACTTACAAAGAGTGTATTTCCAAACTGCTCGATTAAAGAAAGGTTAACCTCTGTGAGTTGAACAGACACATCACAAAGTGTTTTCTGAGAATGATTTTGTCTAATTTTAATTCGAAGATATATCCTTTTCTATCACTGTCTTCGAAGCGTTTGAAATCTGCACTAGCAAATTCCACAAAAAGAGTGTTTCAACTCTGCTCTCTCTAAAGAAAGGTTCAACTCTGTGAGTTGAATGCACACAACACAAAGAAGTTACTGAGAATTCTTCTGTTTAGCTTTATATGAAGAAATCCCGTTTCCAACGAAGGCCACAAAGAGGTCCAAATATCCACTTGCAGACTTTACAAATAGAGTGTTCCCAAACTGCTCTATGAAAAGAAAGGTTAAACGCTGTGAGATGAAGGCACACATCACAAACAAGTTTCTACGAATGACTCTGTGTACTTTCAATATGAAGATATTTCCATGTCTAAGATTGGCGTCAAATCGCTTGAAATCTCCACTTGCAAATTCCACAAAAAGAGTGTTCCAAAACTGCTCTGAATAAAAGAAGGTTCCACTCTGTGAGTTGAATACACACAAGACAAAGGATTTACTGAGAATTCTTCTGTCTAGCAGTAAATGACAAAATCCCGCCTCCAACGAAGTCCTCAAAGGGGTCCAAGTAATCACTTGCAGACTTCACAGACAGAGTCTTTCCAAACTGCTCTATGAAAAGAAAGGTGGAACTCTGTGAGCTGAACGCACAGATAACAAAGCAGTTTCTGAGAATGATTCTGTGTAGTTTTTACACGAAGATATTTCCATTTCAAAGATTAGCCTCAAATCGTTTGAAATCTCCACTTGCAAATTCCACAGAAAGAATTTTTCAAAACTGCTCTGTCTAAAGGAAGGTTCAACTCTGTGACTTGAACCCACACAACACAAAGATGTGACTGAGAATTCTTCTGTCTAGCATTATGTGAAGAAATCCCGTTTCCAACGAAGCCCTCAAAGAGGTCCAAATATCCACTTCCAGACTTCACACATAGAGTGTTTCCAAACTGCTCTATGAAAAGAAAGATTAAACTCTGTGAGTTGAAGGCACACATCACAAACTAGTTTCTGCCAATGACTCTGTGTACTTTTAATACGAAGATATTTCCATGTCTAAGATTGGCGTGAATTCGCTTGAAATCTCCACTTGCAAATTCCACAAAAAGAGTGTTTCAAACTGCTCTGAATAAAGGAAGGTTCAACTCTGTGAGTTGAATACACACAACACAAAGGATTTAATGGGAATTCTTCTGTCTAGCAGTAAATGAGAAATCCCGCTTCCAACGAAGGCCTCAAAGGGGTCTAACTAATCACTTGCAGACTTTACAGACAGTCTTTCCAAACTGCTCTATGAAGAGAAAGGTGAAACTCAGTGAACTGAACGCACAGATAACAAAGCAGTTTCTGAGAATGATTCTGTATAGTTTTTACACGAAGATATTTCCATTTCAAAGATTAGCCTCAAATCCCTTGAAATCTCCACTTGCAAATTCCAGAGAAAGAAATTTTCAAAACTGCTTTGTCTAAAGGAAGGTTCAACTCTGTGACTTGAATAAACACAACACAAAGAAGTGACTGAGAATGCTTCTGTCTAGCATTATATGAAGAAATCCCGTTTCCAACGAAGGTCTCAATGAAGTCCAAAAAAACACCTGCAGACTTTACAAAGTGTTTCAAACTGCT
>NC_000010.11:39615618-39617141 GCF_000001405.40 Homo sapiens | reverse complement strand
GTTTCAACTCTGCTCTCTCTAAAGAAGGTTCAACTCTGTGAGTTGAATACACACAACACAAAGAAGTTACCGAGAATTCTTCTGTGTAGCGTTATATGAAGAAATCCCGTTTCCAACGAAGGCCTCAAAGAGGTCCAAATATCCACTTGCAGACTTTACAAACAGAGTGTTCCCAAACTGCTCTATGAAAAGAAAGTTTAAACGCTGTGAGATGAAGGCACACATCACAAACAAGTTTCTACGAATGACTCTGTGTACTTTCAATATGAAGATATTTCCATGTCTAAGATTGGCGTCAAATCGCTTGAAATCTCCACTTGCAAATTCCACAAAAAGAGGTTTTCAAAACTGCTCTGAATAAAAGAAGGTTCCACTCTGTGAGTTGAATACACACAAGACAAAGGATTTACTGAGAATTCTTCTGTCTAGCAGTAAATGAAAAAATCCCGCCTCCAACGATGTCCTCAAAGGGGTCCAAGTAATCACTTGCAGACTTCACAGACAGAGTCTTTCCAAACTGCTCTATGAAAAGAAAGGTGGAACTCTGTGAGCTGAACGCACAGATAACAAAGCAGTTTCTGAGAATGATTCTGTGTAGTTTTTACACGAAGATATTTCCATTTCAAAGATTAGCCTCAACTCGCTTGAAATCTCCACTTGCAAATTCCACAGAAAGAATTTTTCAAAACTGCTCTGTCTAAAGGAAGGTACAACTCTGTGACTTGAATACACACAACACAAAGATGTGACTGAGAATTCTTCTGTCTAGCATTATGTGAAGAAATCCCGTTTCCAACGAAGGCCTCAAAGAGGTCCAAATATCCACTTGCAGACTTTACAAATAGAGTGTTTCCAAACTGCTCTATGAAAAGAAAGATTAAACTCTGTGAGTTGAAGGCACACATCACAAGCTAGTTTTTGCCAATGACTCTGTGTACTTTTAATACGAAGATATTTCCATGTCTAAGATTGGCATGAATTCGCTTGAAATCTCCACTTCCAAATTCCACAAAAAGTGTTTTTCAAAACTGCTCTGAATAAAGGAAGGTTCCACTCTGTGAGTTGAATACACACAACACAAAGGATTTACTGAGAATTCTTCTGTCTGGCAGTAAATGAGAAACCCCGCTTCTACGAAGGCCTCAAAGGGGTCTAACTAATCACTTGCAGACTTTACAGACAGAGTCTTTCCAAACTGCTCTATGAAGAGAAAGGTGAAACTCTGTGAACTGAACGCAAAGATAACAAAGCAGTTTCTGAGAATGATTCTGTGTAGTTTTTACACGAAGATATTTCCATTTCAAAGATTAGCCTCAAATCGCTTGAAATCTCCACTTTCAAATTCCACAGAAAGAGTGTTTCAAAACTGCTCTGAATAAAGGAAGGTTCAACTCTGTGAGTTGAATACACACAACACAAAGGATTTACTGAGAATTCTTCTGTCTAGCAGTAAATGAAAAAATCCCGCTTCCAACGAAGTCCTCAAAGGGGTCGAAGTAATCACTTGCAGACTTTACATACAG
>NC_000010.11:39607451-39613189 GCF_000001405.40 Homo sapiens | reverse complement strand
AACTCTGTGAGTTGAATACACACAACACAAAGGATTTAATGGGAATTCTTCTGTCTAGCAGTAAATGAGAAATCCCGCTTCCAACGAAGGCCTCAAAGGGGTCTAACTAATCACTTGCAGACTTTACAGACAGTCTTTCCAAACTGCTCTATGAAGAGAAAGGTGAAACTCAGTGAACTGAACGCACAGATAACAAAGCAGTTTCTGAGAATGATTCTGTATAGTTTTTACACGAAGATATTTCCATTTCAAAGATTAGCCTCAAATCCCTTGAAATCTCCACTTGCAAATTCCAGAGAAAGAAATTTTCAAAACTGCTTTGTCTAAAGGAAGGTTCAACTCTGTGACTTGAATAAACACAACACAAAGAAGTGACTGAGAATGCTTCTGTCTAGCATTATATGAAGAAATCCCGTTTCCAACGAAGGTCTCAATGAAGTCCAAAAAAACACCTGCAGACTTTACAAAGTGTTTCCAAACTGCTCTATGAAAAGAAAGGTTAAACTCTGTGAGTTGAAGGCACACATCACAAACTAGTTTCTACGAATGACTCTGTGTACTTTTAATATGAAGATATTTCCATGTCTAAGATTGGCGTCAAATCGCTTGAAATCTCCACTTGCAAATTCCACAATAAGTGTTTTTTCAAAACCTCTCTGAATAAAGGAAGGTTCAACTCTGTGAGTTGAATACACACAACACAAAGGATTTACTGAGAATTCTTCTGTCTAGCAGTAAATGAGAAATCCCGCTTCAAACGAAGGCCTCAAAGGGGTCTAAGTAATCACTTGCAGACTTTACAGACAGAGTCTTTCCAAACTGCTCTATGAAGAGAAAGGTGGAACTCTGTGAACTGAATGCACAGATAACAAAGCAGTTTCTGAGAATGATTCTGTGTAGTTTTTACACGAAGATATTTCCATTTCAAAGATTAGCCTCAAATTGCTTGAAATCTCCACTTGCAAATTCCACAGACAGAATTTTTCAAGACTGCTCTGTCTAAAGGACGGTTCAACTCTGTGACTTGAATACACACAACACAAAGAAGTGACTGAGAATTCTTCTGTCTAGCATTATGTGAAGAAATCCCGTTTCCAACGAAGGCCTCAATGAAGTCCAAAAAAGCACTTGCAGGCTTTACAAACAGAGTATTTCCAAACTGCTCTATGAAAAGAAAGGTTAAACTCTGTGAGTTGAACGCACACATCACAAAGAAGTTGTTGAGAATGATTCTGTGTAGTTTTTATACGAAGATATTTCCTTTTCTGCCATAGGCCAAGAAGCGCTTGAAATCTGTACTTGCAAATTCCAAAAACAGAGTGTTTCAAATCTGCTCTCTCTAAAGGAAGGTTCAAATCTGTGCGTTGAATACAAACAACACAAAGAAGTTACTGAGAATTCTTCTGTCTAGCATTATATGAGGAAATCCCTTTTCCAACGAAGGGCTCAAAGAGGGACAATTCTCGACTTTCACATTTACAAAGAGTGTATTTCCAAACTGCTCCATTAAAGAAAGGTTAAACTCTGTGAGTTGAACACACACATCACAAAGTGTTTTCTGAGAATGATTTTGTCTAGTTTTAATATGAAGATATATCCTTTTCTATCACTATCTTCGAAGCCTTTGATATCTGCACTAGCAAATTCCACAAAAAGAGTGTTTCAAATCTGCTCTCTCTAAAGAAAGGTTCAACTCTGTGAGTTGAATACACACAACACAAAGAAGTTACTGTGAATTCTTCTGTGTAGCGTTATAAGAAGAAATCCCGTTTCCAACGAAGGCGTCAAAGAAGTCCAAATATCCACTTGCAGACTTTACAAATAGAGTGTTTCCAAACTGCTCTATGAAAACAAAGGTTAAACACTGTGAGTTGAAGGCACACATCACAAACTAGTTTCTGCGAATGACTCTGTGTACTTTTAATATGAAGAAATTTCCATGTCTAAGATTGGCGTCAAATCGCTTGAAATCTCCACTTGCAAATTCCACAAAAAGTGTTTTTCAAAACTTCTCTGAATAAAGGAAGGTTCAACTCTGTGAGTTGAATACACACAACACAAAGGATTTACTGAGAACTCTTCTGTCTAGCAGTAAATGAGAAATCCCGCTTCCAAAGAAGGCCTCAAAGGGGTCTAACTAATCACTTGCAGACTTTACAGACAGAGTCTTTCCAAACTGCTCTATGAAGAGAAAGGTGAAACTCTGTGAGCTCAACGCACAGATAACAAAGCAATTTCTGAGAATGATTCTGTGTAGTTTTTACACGAAGATATTTCCATTTCAAAGATTAGCCTCAAATCGTTTGAAATCTCCACTTGCAAATTCCACAGAAAGAGTTTTTCAAAACTGCTCGGTCTAAAGGAAGTTTCAACTCTGTGACTTGAATACCTCAACACAAAGAAGTGACTGAGAATTCTTCTGTCTAGTAGTATGTGAAGAAATCCCGTTTCCAACGAAGGCCTCAAAGAAGTCCAAATAAGCACCTGCAGACTTTACAAACAGAGTGTTTCCAAACTGCTCTATGAAAAGAAAGGTTAAACTCTGTGAGTTCAACGCACACATCACAAAGTAGTTGTTGAGAAGGATTCCGTGTAGTTTTTATACGAAGATATTTCCTTTTCTGCCATAGGCCTAGAAGCGCTTGAAATCTGCACTTGCAAATTCCAAGAACAGAGTGTTTCAAATCTGCTCTCTCTAAAGAACGTTCAAATCTGTGAGTTGAATACAAACAACACAAAGAAGTTACTGAGAATTCTTCTGTCTAGCATTATATGAGGAAATCCCGTTTCTAACGAAGGGCTCAAAGAGGGCCAATTGTCCACTTGCAGACTTACAAAGAGTGTATTTCCAAACTGCTCAATAAAAGAAAGGTTAAACTCTGTGAGTTGAACACACACATCACAAAGTGTTTTCTGAGAATGATTTTGTCTAGTTTTAATATGAAGTTATATCCTTTTCTATCATTGTCTTCGAAGCGTATGAAATCTGCACTAGCAAATTCCACAAATAGAGTGTTTCAAATCTGCTTTCTCTCAAGAAAGGTTCAACTCTGTGAGTTGAATACACACAACACAAAGAAGTTAGTGAGAATTCTTCTGTCTAGCGTTATATGAAGAAATCCCGTTTCCAAAGAAGCCGTCAAAGAGGTCCAAATATCCACTTGCAGACTTTGCAAATAGAGGGTTTCCAAACTGCTCTATGAAAAGAAAGCTTAAACTCTGTGAGTTGAAGGCACACATCACAAACTAGTTTCTGCGAATGACTCTGTGTAGTTTTAATATGAAGATATTTTCATGTCTAAGATTGGCGTCAAATCGCTTGAAATCTCCACTTGCAAATTCCACAAAAAGTGTTTTTCAAAACTTCTCTGAATAAAGGAAGGTTCAACTCTGTGAGTTGAATACACATAACAAAAAGGATTTACTGAGAATTCTTCTGTCTAGCAGTAAGTGAAAAAATCCCGGTTCCAACGAAGGCCTCAAAGGGGTCCAAGTATTCACTTGCAGACTTTACAGACAGAGTCTTTCCAAACTGCTCTATGAAAAGAAAGGTGAAACTCTGTGAGTTGAACGCACACATAACAAAGCAGTTTCTGAGAGTGATTCTGTGTAGTTTTTACACGAAGATATTTCCATTTCAAAGATTGGCTTCAAATCGCATGAAATCACCACTTGCAAAATCCACAGAAAGAGTTTTTCAAAACTGCTCTGTCTAAAGGAAGGTTCAACTCTGTGACTTGAATACACACAACACAAAGAAGTGACTGAGAATTCTTCTGTCTAGCATTATATGAAGAAATCCCGTTTCCAACGAAGGCCTCAAAGAAGTCCAAATAAGCACCTGCAGACTTTACAAACAGAGTGTTTCCAAACTGCTCTATGAAAAGAAAGGTTAAAGTCTGTGAGTTGAACGCGCACATCACAAAGTAGTTGTTGAGAATGATTCTGTGTAGTTTTTATACGAAGATATTTCCTTTTCTGCCATAGGCCTAGAATCGCTTGAAATCTGCACTTGCAAATTCCAAAAAAGAGTGTTTCAAATCTGCTCTCTCTAAAGGAAGGTTCAAATCTGTGTGTTGAATACAAACAACACAAAGAAGTTACTGAGAATTCTTCTGTCTAGCATTATATGAGGAAATCCCTTTTCCAACGAAGGGCTCAAAAAGGGCCAATTATCCACTTTCACATTTACAAAGAGTGTATTTCCAAACTGCTCAATTAAAGAAAGGTTAAACTCTGTGAGTTGAACACACACATCACAAAGTGTTTTCTGAGAATGATTTTGTCTAGTTTTAATACGAAGTTATATCCTTTTCTATCATTGTGTTCGAAGCGTTTGAAATCTTCACTAGCAAATTCCACAAAAGATTGTTTCAAATCTGCTCTCTCTCAAGAAAGGTTCAACTCTGTGAGTTGAATACACACAGCACAAAGAAGTTAGTGAGAATTCTTCTGTCTAGCGTTATATGAAGAAATCCCGTTTCCAATGAAGGCCTCAAAGAGGTCGAAATATCCACTTGCAGACTTTACAAATAGAGTGTTTCCAAACTGCTCTATGAAAAGAAAGTTAAACTCTGTGAATTGAAGGCACACATCACAAACTAGTTTCTGCGAATGACTCTGTGTACTTTTAATACGAAGATATTTCCATGTCTAAGATTGGCGTGAAATCGCTTGAAATCTCCACTTGCAAATTCCACAAAAAGAGTGTTTCAAAACTGCTCTGAATAAAGGAAGGTTCAACTCTGTGAGTTGAATACACACAACAGAAAGGATTTAGTGAGAATTCTTCTGTCTAGCAGTAAATGAAAAAATCCCGCTTCCAACGAAGTCCTCAAAGGGGTCCAAGTAATCACTTGCAGACTTTACAGACAGAGTCTTTCCAAACTGCTCTATGAAAAGAAAGGTGGGAGGAGGAGCCAAGATGGCCGAATAGGAACAGCTCCGGTCTACAGCTCCCAGCGTGAGCGACGCAGAATACGGGTGATTTCTGCATTTCCATCTGAGGTACCGGGTTCATCTCACTAGGGAGTGCCAGACAGTGGGCGCAGACCAGTGTGTGTGCGCACCGTGCGCGAGCCGAAGCAGGGCGAGGCATTGCCTCACCTGGGAAGCGCAAGGGGTCAGTGAGTTCCCTTTCCGAGTCAAAGACAGGGGTGACGGACGCACCTGGAAAATCGGGTCACTCCCACCCGATTATTGCGCTTTTCAGACCGGCTTAAGAAACGGCGCACCACGAGACTATATCCCACACCTGGCTCAGAGGGTCCTACGCCCACGGAATCTCGCTGATTGCTAGCACAGCACTCTGAGATCAAACTGCAAGTCGGCAGCGAGGCTGGTGGAGGGGCGCCCGCCATTGCCCAGGCTTGCTTAGGTAAACAAAGCAGCCGGGAAGCTCGAACTGGGTGGAGCCCACCACAGCTCAAGGGGGCCTGCCTGCCTCTGTAGGCTCCACCTCTGGGGGCAGGGCACAGACAAACAAAAAGACAGCAGTAACCTCTGCAGACTTAAGTGTCCCTGTCTGACAGCTTTGAAGAGAGCAGTGGTTCTCCCAGCACGCAGCTGGAGATCTGAGAATGGGCAGACTGCCTCCTCAAGTGGGTCCCTGACCCCTGACCCCCGAGCAGCCTAACTGGGAGGCACCCCCCAGCAGGGGCACACTGATACCTCACACGGCAGGGTATTCCAACAGACCTGCAGCTGAGGGTCCTGTCTGTTAGAAGGAAAACTAACAA
>NC_000010.11:39606089-39607431 GCF_000001405.40 Homo sapiens | reverse complement strand
TCGACACATACACTCTCCCAAGACTAAACCAGGAAGAAGTTGAATCTCTGAATAGACCAATAACAGGCTCTGAAATTGTGGCAATAATCAATAGTTTACCAACCAAAAAGAGTCCAGGACCAGATGGATTCACAGCCGAATTCTACCAGAGGTACAAGGAGGAACTGGTACCATTCCTTCTGAAACTATTCCAATCAATAGAAAAAGAGGGAATCCTCCCTAACTCATTTTATGAGGCCAGCATCATTCTGATACCAAAGCCAGGCAGAGACACAACCAAAAAAGAGAATTTTAGACCAATATCCTTGATGAACATTGATGCAAAAATCCTCAATAAAATACTGGCAAACCGAATCCAGCAGCACATCAAAAAGCTTATCCACCATGATCAAGTGGGCTTCATCCCTGGGATGCAAGGCTGGTTCAATATACGCAAATCAATAAATGTAATCCAGCATATAAACAGAGCCAAAGACAAAAACCTCATGATTATCTCAATAGATGCAGAAAAGGCCTTTGACAAAATTCAACAACCCTTCATGCTAAAAACTCTCAATAAATTAGGTATTGATGGGACGTATTTCAAAATAATAAGAGCTATCTATGACAAACCCACAGCCAATATCATACTGAATGGGCAAAAACTGGAAGCATTCCCTTTGAAAACTGGCACAAGACAGGGATGCCCTCTCTCACCGCTCCTATTCAACATAGTGTTGGAAGTTCTGGCCAGGGCAATCAGGCAGGAGAAGGAAATAAAGGGTATTCAATTAGGAAAAGAGGAAGTCAAATTGTCCCTGTTTGCAGACGACATGATTGTTTATCTAGAAAACCCCATCGTCTCAGCCCAAAATCTCCTTAAGCTGATAAGCAACTTCAGCAAAGTCTCAGGATACAAAATCAATGTACAAAAATCACAAGCATTCTTATACACCAACAACAGACAAACAGAGAGCCAAATCATGGGTGAACTCCCATTCACAATTGCTTCAAAGAGAATAAAATACCTAGGAATCCAACTTACAAGGGATGTGAAGGACCTCTTCAAGGAGAACTACAAACCACTGCTCAAGGAAATAAAAGAGGACACAAACAAATGGAAGAACATTCCATGCTCATGGGTAGGAAGAATCAATATCGTGAAAATGGCCATACTGCCCAAGGTAATTTACAGATTCAATGCCATCCCCATCAAGCTACCAATGACTTTCTTCACAGAATTGGGAAAAACTACTTTAAGGTTCATATGGAACCAAAAAGAGCCCGCATTGCCAGTCAATCCTAAGCCAAAGACAAAGCTGGAGCATCACATACCTGACTTCAACTATACTACAAGGCTACA
>NC_000010.11:39598832-39602699 GCF_000001405.40 Homo sapiens | reverse complement strand
ATTGACAATGAGATCACATGGACACAGGAAGGGGAATATCACACTCTGGGGACTGTGGTGGGGTTGGGGGAGGGGAGAGGGATAGTATTGGGAGATATACCTAATGCTAGATGACACATTAGTGGGTGCAGCGCACCAGCATGGCACATGTATACATAGGTAACTAACCTGCACAATGTGCACATGTACCCTAAAACTTAGAGTATAATAAAAAAAATAAAATAAATAAAAAAAAAATGATAAAAAAAAAAAAAGTTTTAGTTGTGGCTGGTAAACCACAAAGTTTGTAGTTCAAAAAGCAGGAAAACAGTTCCTTGTGAAGGTTCCCCCAGGAGATTGTTGTTTCTAACAGAAAATTAAATACTGACCTGGAGCACCAAAAAAAAAAAAAAAAAAAATGAATGGTGACAAAGGCCAGAGATCTTCAAGCATAATTAAAATGACATGAGCTAGAAAAAAAAAAAAAAAAGAAAAGAAAGGTGGAACTCTGTGAGCTGAACGCACACATAACAAAGCAGTTTCTGAGAATGATTCTGTGTAGTTTTTACACGAAGATGTTTCCATTTCAATGGTTGGCCTCAAATTGCTTGAAATCTCCACTTGCAAATTCCACAGAAAGAGTTTTTCAAAACTGCTCTGTCTAAAGGAAGGTTCAACTCTGTGACTTGAATACACACAACACAAAGAAGTGACTGAGAATTCTTCTGTCTAGCATTATATGAAGAAATCCCGTTTCCAACGAAGGCCTCAAAGAAGTCCAAATAAGCACCTGCAGACTTACAAACAGAGTGTTTCCAAACTGCTCTATGAAAAGAAAGGTTAAACTCTGTGAGTTGAACGCGCACATCACAAAGTAGTTTTTGAGAATGATTCTGTGTAGTTTTTATACGAAGATATTCCCTTTTCTGCCATACGCCTAGAAGAGCTTGAAACCTGCACTTGCAAATTCCAAAAAAAGAGTGTTTGCAATCTGCCCTCTCTAAAGGAAGGTTCAAATCTGTGCTTTGAATACAAACAACACAAAGAAGTTACTGAGAATTCTTCTGTCTAGCACTATATGAGGAAATCCCGTTTCCAACGAAGGGCTCAAAGAGGGCCAATTATCCACCTGCAGACTTACAAAGAGTGTATTTCCAAACTGCTCAATTAAAGAAAGGTTAAACTCTATGAGTTGAACACACACATCACAAAGTGTTTTCTGAGAATGATTTTGTCTAGTTTTAATACGAAGATATATCCTTTTCTATCATTGTCTTCGAAGCGTTTGAAATCTGCACTAGCAAATTCCACAAAAAGAGTGTTTCAAATCTGCTCTCTCTAGAGAAAGGTTCAACTCTGTGAGTTGAATACACACAACACAAAGAAGTTACTGAGAATTCTTCTGTCTAGCGTTATACGAAGAAATCCCGTTTCCAAAGAAGGCGTCAAAGAGGTCCAAATATCCACTTGCAGACTTTACAAATAGAGTGTTTCCAAACTGCTCTATGAAAAGAAAGATTAAACTCTGTGAATTGAACTCACACATCACAAACTAGTTTCTGCGAATGACTCTGTGTACTTTTAATACGAAGATATTTCCATGTCTAAATTGGCGTCAAATCGCTTGAAATCTCCACTTGCAAATTCCACAAAAAGAGTGTTTCAAAACTGCTCTGAATAAAGGAAGGTTCAACTCTGTGAGTTGAATACACATAACACAAAGGATTTACTGAGAATTCTTCTGTCTAGCAGTAAGTGAAAAAATGAAGCTTCCAACGAAGTCCTCAAAGGAATCCAAGTATTGACTTGCAGACTTTACAGACAGAGTCTTTCCAAACTGCTGTATGAAAAGAAAGGTGAAACTCTGTGAGTTGAACGCACACATAACAAAGCAGTTTCTGAGAATGATTCTGTGTAGTTTTTACACGAAGATATTTCCATTTCAAAGATTGGCCTCAAATTGCTTGAAATCTCCACTTGCAAATTCCACAGAAAGAGTTTTTCAAAACTACTCGGTCTAAAGGAAGTTTCCACTCTGTGACTTGAATACCAAAACACAAAGAAGTGACTGAGAATTCTTCTGTCTAGCATTATATGAAGAAATCCCGTTTCCAACGAAGGCCTCAAAGAAGTCCAAATAAGCACCTGCAGACTTTACAAACAGAGTGTTTCCAAACTGCTCTATGAAAACAAAGGTTAAACCCTGTGAGTTGAACGCGCACATCACAAAGTAGTTTTTGAGAATGATACTGTGTAGTTTTTATACGAAGATATTCCCTTTTCTGCCATAGGCCTAGAAGCGCTTGAAATCAGCACTTGCAAATTCCAAAAAAAGAGTGTTTGAAATCTGCTCTCTCTAATGGAAGTATCAAATCTGTGAGTTGAATACAAACAACACAAAGAAGTTATTGAGAATTCTTCTGTCTAGCACTATATGAGGAAATCCCGTTTCCAACGAAGGGCTCAAAGAGGGCCAATTATCCACTTGCAGACTTTACAAAGAGTGTATTTCCAAACTGCTCGATTAAAGAAAGGTTAAACTCTGTGAGTTGAACACACACATCACAAAGAGTTTTCTGAGAATGGTTTTGTCTAGTTTTAATATGAAGATATATCCTTTTCTATCATTGTCTTCGAAGCGTTTGAAATCTGCACTAGCAAATTCCACAAAATGAGTGTTTCAGATCTGCTCTCTCCAAAGAAAGGTTCAACTCTGTGAGTTGAATACACACAACACAAAGAAGTTACTGAGAATTCTTCTGTCTAGTGTTATATGAAGAAATCCCGTTTCCAATGAAGGCCTCAAAGAGGTCGAAATATCCACTTGCAGACTTTACAAATAGAGTGTTTCCAAACTGCTCTATGAAAAGAAAGTTAAACTCTGTGAATTGAAGGCACACATCACAATCTAGTTTCTGCGAATGACTCTGTGTACTTTAAATACGAAGATATTTCCATGTCTAAGATTGGCGTGAATTCGCTTGAAATCTCCACTTGCAAATTCCACAAAAAGAGTGTTTCAAAACTGCTCTGAATAAAGGAAGGTTCAACTCTGTGAGTTGAATACACACAACACAAAGGATTTACTGAGAATTCTTCTGTCTAGCAGTAAATGAAAAAATCCCGCTTCCAACGAAGTCCTCAAAGGGGGCCAAGTAATCACTTGCAGACTTTACAGACAGAGTCTTTCCAAAGTGCTCTATGAAAAGAAAGGTGGAACTCTGTGAGCTGAACGCACACATAACAAAGCAGTTTCTGAGAATGATTCTGTGTAGTTTTTACACGAAGATATTTCCATTTCAAAGATTAGCCTCAAATCGCTTGAAATCTCCACTTGCAAATTACACAGAAAGAGTTTTTCAAAACTGCTCTGTCTAAAGGAAGGTTCAACTCTGTGACTTGAATACACACAACACAAAGAAGTGACTGAGAATTCTTCTGTCTAGCATTATATGAAGAAATCCCGTTTCCAACGAAGGCCTCAAAGAAGTCCAAATAAGCACCTGCAGACTTACAAACAGAGTGTTTCCAAACTGCTCTATGAAAAGAAAGGTTAAACTCTGTGAGTTGAACGCGCACATCACAAAGTAGTTTTTGAGAATGATTCTGTGTAGTTTTTATACGAAGATATTCCCTTTTCTGCCATACGCCTAGAAGAGCTTGAAACCTGCACTTGCAAATTCCAAAAAAAGAGTGTTTGCAATCTGCCCTCTCTAAAGGAAGGTTCAAATCTGTGCGTTGAATACAAACAACACAAAGAAGTTACTGAGAATTCTTCTGTCTAGCACTATATGAGGAAATCCCGTTTCCAACGAAGGGCTCAAAGAGGGCCAATTATCCACCTGCAGACTTACAAAGAGTGTATTTCCAAACTGCTCAATTAAAGAA
>NC_000010.11:39597435-39598812 GCF_000001405.40 Homo sapiens | reverse complement strand
AGATATATCCTTTTCTATCATTGTCTTCGAAGCGTTTGAAATCTGCACTAGCAAATTCCACAAAAAGAGTGTTTCAAATCTGCTCTCTCTAGAGAAAGGTTCAACTCTGTGAGTTGAATACACACAACACAAAGAAGTTACTGAGAATTCTTCTGTCTAGCGTTATACGAAGAAATCCCGTTTCCAAAGAAGGCGTCAAAGAGGTCCAAATATCCACTTGCAGACTTTACAAATAGAGTGTTTCCAAACTGCTCTATGAAAAGAAAGATTAAACTCTGTGAATTGAACTCACACATCACAAACTAGTTTCTGCGAATGACTCTGTGTACTTTTAATACGAAGATATTTCCATGTCTAAATTGGCGTCAAATCGCTTGAAATCTCCACTTGCAAATTCCACAAAAAGAGTGTTTCAAAACTGCTCTGAATAAAGGAAGGTTCAACTCTGTGAGTTGAATACACATAACACAAAGGATTTACTGAGAATTCTTCTGTCTAGCAGTAAGTGAAAAAATGAAGCTTCCAACGAAGTCCTCAAAGGGGTCCAAGTATTCACTTGCAGAGTTTACAGACAGAGTCTTTCCAAACTGCTCTATGAAAGGAAAGGTGAAACTCTGTGAGTTGAACGCACACATAACAAAGCAGTTTCTGAGAATGATTCTGTGTAGTTTTTATACGAAGATGTTTCCATTACAAAGATTGGCCTCAAATCGCTTGAAATCTCCACTTGCAAATTCCACAGAAAGAGTTTTTCAAAACTACTCTGTCTAAAGGAAGGTTCAACTCTGTGACTTGAATACACACAACACAAAGAAGTGACTGAGAATTCTTCTGTCTAGCATTATATGAAGAAATCCCGTTTCCAACGAAGGCCTCAAAGAAGTCCAAATAAGCACCTGCAGACTTTACAAACAGAGTGTTTCCAAACTGCTCTATGAAAAGAAAGCTTAAACTCTGTGAGTTGAACGCGCACATCACAAAGTAGTTTTTGAGAATGATTCTGTGTAGTTTTCATACGACGATATTCCCTTTTCTGCCATAGGCCTAGAAGCGCTTGAAATCTGCACTTGCAAATTCCAAAAAAAGAGTGTTTGAAATCTGCTCTCTCTAAAGGAAGGTTCAAATCTGTGAGTTGAATACAAACAACACAAAGAAGTTAATGAGAATTCTTCTGTCTAGCATTATAAGAGGAAATCCCGTTTCCAACGAAGGGCTCAAAGAGGGCCAATTATCCACTTGCAGACTTTACAAAGAGTGTATTTCCAAACTGCTCGATTAAAGAAAGGTTAAACTCTGTGAGTTGAACACACACATCACAAAGTGTTTTCTGAGAATGATTTTGTCTAGTTTTAATATCGAAGATATATCCTTTTCTAT
>NC_000010.11:39590435-39593013 GCF_000001405.40 Homo sapiens | reverse complement strand
AAATCTGCACTTGCAAATTCCAAGAACAGAGTGTTTGAAATCTGCTCTCTCTAAAGGAGGTTCAAATCTGTGAGTTGAATACAAACAACACAAAGAAGTTAATGAGAATTCTTCTGTCTAGCACTATATGTGGAAATCCCGTTTCCAACAAAGGGCTCAAAGAGGGCCAATTATCCACTTGCAGACTTTACAAAGAGTGTATTTCCAAACTGCTCGATTAAAGAAAGGTTAAACTCTGTGAGTTGAACACACACATCACAAAGTGTTTTCTGAGAATGATTTTGTCTAGTTTTAATACGAAGATATATCCTTTTCTATCATTGTCTTCCAAGCGTTTGAAATCTGCACTAGCAAATTCCAGAAAAAGAGTGTTTCAAATCTGCTCTCTCTCAAGAAAGGTTCAACTCTGTGAGTGGAATACACACAACACAAAGAAGTTACTGAGAATTCTTCTGTCTAGCGTTATATGAAGAAATCCCGTTTCCAAGGAAGGCCTCAAAGAGGTCCAAATATCCACTTGCCGACTTTACAAATAGAGTGTTTCCAAACTGCTGTATGAAAAGAATGGTTAAACTCTGTGAGTTGAAGGCACACATCACAAACCAGTTTCTGCGAATGACTCTGTGTAGTTTTAATACGAAGATATTTCCATGTCTAAGATTGGCGTCAAATCGCTTGAAATCTCCACTGGCAAATTCCACAAAGAGTGTTTCCAAACTGCTCTGAATAAAGGAAGGTTCAACTCTGTGAGTTGAATACACACAACACAAAGGATTTACTGAGGATTCTTCTGTCTAGCAGTAAGTGAAAAAATCAAGCTTCCAACGAAGGCCTCCAAGGAATCCAAGTATTGACTTGCAGACTTTACAGACAGAGTCTTTCCAAACTGCTGTATGAAAAGAAAGGTGAAACTCTGTGAGTTGAACGCACACATAACAAAGCAGTTTCTGAGAATGATTCTGTGTAGTTTTTACACGAAGATATTTCCATTTCAAAGATTGGCGTCAAATTGCTTGAAATCTCCACTTGCAAATTCCACAGAAAGAGTTTTTCAAAACTACTCGGTCTAAAGGAAGTTTCCACTCTGTGACTTGAATACCACAACACAAAGAAGTGACTGAGAATTCTTCTGTCTAGCATTATATGAAGAAATCCCGTTTCCAATGAAGGCCTCAAAGAAGTCCAAATAAGCACCTGCAGACTTTACAAACAGAGTGTTTCCAAACTGCTCTATGAAAAGAAAGGTTAAACTGTGTGAGTTGAACGCACACATCACAAAGTAGTTTTTGAGAACGATTCTGTGTAGTTTTTATACGACGATATTCCCTTTTCTGCCATAGGCCTAGAAGCGCTTGAAATGTGCACTTGCAAATTCCAAAAAAAGAGTGTTTGAAATCTGCTCTCTCTAAAGGAAGGTTCAAATCTGTGAGTTGAATACAACCAACACAAAGAAATTACTGAGAATTCTTCTGTCTAGCACTATATGAGGAAATCCCGTTTCCAAAGAAGGTCTCAAAGAGGGACAATTATCCACTTGCAGACTTTACAAAGAGGGTATTTCCAAACTGCTCGATTAAAGAAAGGTTAAACTCTGTGAGTTGAACACACACATCACAAAGTGTTTTCTGAGAATGATTTTGTCTAGTTTTAATACGAAGTTATATCCTTGTCTATCATTGTCTTCGAAGCGTTTGAAATCTGCACTAGCAAATTCCACAAAAAGAGTGTTTCAAATCTGATCTCTCTAAAGAAAGGTTCAACTCTGTGAGTTGAATACACACAACACAAAGAAGTTACTGAGAATTCTTCTGTCTAGCGTTATATGAAGAAATCCCGTTTCCAATGAAGGCCTCAAAGAGGTCGAAATATCCACTTGCAGACTTTACAAATAGAGTGTTTCCAAACTGCTCTATGAAAAGAAAGTTAAATTCTGTGAATTGAAGGCACACATCACAATCTAGTTTCTGCGAATGACTCTGGGTACTTTAAATACGAAGATATTTCCACGTCTAAGATTGGTGTGAAATCTCTTCAAATGTCCACTTGCAAATTCCACAAAAAGAGTGTTTCAAAACTGCTCTGAATAAAGGAAAGTTCAACTCTGTGAGTTGAATACACACAACACAAAGGATTTACTGAGAATTCTTCTGTCTAGCAGTAAATGAAAAAATCCCGCTTCCAACGAAGGCCTCAAAGGGGTCCAAGTATTCACTTGCAGACTTTACAGACAGAGTCTTTCCAAACTGCTGTATGAAAAGAAAGGTGAAACTCTGTGAGTTGAACGCACACATAACAAAGCAGTTTCTGAGAATGATTCTGTGTAGTTTTTACACGAAGATATTTCCATTTCAAAGATTGGCCACAAATTGCTTGAAATCTCCACTTGCAAATTCCACAGAAAGAGTTTTTCAAAACTACTCGGTCTAAAGGAAGTTTCAACTCTGCGACTTGAATACCACAACACAAAGAAGTGACTGTGAATTCTTCTGTCTAGCATTATATGAAGAAATCCCGTTTCCAACTAAGGCCTCAAAGAAGTCCAAATAAGCACCTGCAGACTTTACAAACAGGGTGTTTC
>NC_000010.11:39570672-39585287 GCF_000001405.40 Homo sapiens | reverse complement strand
ACACATCACAAACCAGTTTCTGCGAATGACTCTGTGTAGTTTAATACGGAGATATTCCCATGTCTAAGATTGGCGTCAAATCGCTGAAAATCTCCACTGGCAAATTCCACAAAGAGTGTTTCCAAACTGCTCTGAATAAAGGAAGGTTCAACTCTGTGAGTTGAATACACACAACACAAAGGATTTACTGAGGATTCTTCTGTCTAGCAGTAAGTGAAAAAATCAAGCTTCCAACAAAGGCCTCCAAGGAATCCAAGTATTGACTTGCAGACTTTACAGACAGAGTCTTTCCAAACTGCTGTATGAAAAGAAAGGTGAAACTCTGTGAGTTGAACGCACACATAACAAAGCAGTTTCTGAGAATGATTCTGTGTAGTTTTTACACGAAGATATTTCCATTTCAAAGATTGGCGTCAAATTGCTTGAAATCTCCACTTGCAAATTCCACAGAAAGAGTTTTTCAAAACTACTCGGTCTAAAGGAAGTTTCCACTCTGTGACTTGAATACCACAACACAAAGAAGTGACTGAGAATTCTTCTGTCTAGCAGTATATGAAGAAATCCCGTTTCCAATTAAGGCCTCAAAGAAGTCCAAATAAGCACCTGCAGACTTTACAAACAGAGTGTTTCCAAACTGCTCTATGAAAAGAAAGGTTAAACTCTGTGAGATGAACGCAAACATCACAAAGTAGTTTTCGAGAATGATTCTGTGTAGTTTTTATAAGACGATATTCCCTTTTCTGCCATAGGCCTAGAAGCGCTTGAAATCTGCACTTGCAAATTCCAAAAAAAGAGTGTTTGAAATCTGTTCTCTCTAAAGGAAGGTTCAAATCTGTGAGTTGAATACAAACAACACAAAGAAGTTACTGAGAATTCTTCTGTCTAGCATTATATGAGGAAATCCCGTTTCCAACGAAGGGCTCAAAGAGGGCCAATTATCCACTTGCAGACTTACAAAGAGTGTATTTCCAAACTGCTCAATTAAAGAAAGGTTAAACTCTATGAGTTGAACACACACATCACAAAGTGTTTTCTGAGAATGATTTTGTCTAGTTTTAATACGAAGATATATCCTTTTCTATCATTGTCTTCGAAGCGTTTGAAATCTGCACTAGCAAATTCCACAAAAAGAGTGTTTCAAATCTGCTCTCTCTAAAGAAAGGTTCAACTCTGTGAGTTGTATACACACAACACAAAGAAGTTACTGAGAATTCTTCTGTGTAGCGTTGTATGAAGAAATCCCGTTTCCAATGAAGGCCTCAAAGAGGTCGAAATATCCACTTGCAGACTTTACAAATAGAGTGTTTCCAAACTGCTCTATGAAAAGAAAGGTAAACTCTGTGAATTGAAGGCACACATCACAATCTAGTTTCTGCGAATGACTCTGTGTACTTTAAATACGAAGATATTTCCATGTCTAAGATTGGCGTGAAATCGCTTGAAATCTCCACTTGCAAATTCCTCAAAAAGAGTGTTTCAAAACTGCTCTGAATAAAGGAAGGTTCAACTCTGTGAATTGAATACACACAACACAAAGGATTTACTGAGAATTCTTCTGTCTAGCAGTAAATGAAAAAATTCCTCTTCCAACGAAGTCCTCAAAGGGGTCCAAGTAATCACTTGCAGACTTCACAGACAGAGTCTTTCCAAACTGCTCTATGAAAAGAAAGGTGGAACTCTGTGAGCTGAACGCACACATAACAAAGCAGTTACTAAGAAAGATTCTGTGTAGTTTTTACACGAAGATATTTCCATTTCAAAGATTAGCTTCAAATCGCTTGAAATCTCCACTTGCAAATTCCACAGAAAGAGTTTTTCAAAACTGCTCTGTGTAAAGGAAGGTTCAACTGTGTGACTTGAATACACACAACACAAAGAAGTGACTGAGAATTCTTCTGTCTAGCATTATATGAAGAAATCCCGTTTCCAACGAAGGCCTCAAAGAAGTCCAAATAAGCACCTGCAGACTTTACAAACAGAGTGTTTCCAAACTGCTCTATGAAACGAAAGGTTAAACTCTGTGAGTTGAACGCGCACTTCACAAAGTAGTTGTTGAGAATGATTCTGTGTAGTTTTTATACGAAGATATTTCCTTTTCTGCCATAGGCCCAGAAGCCCTTGAAATCTCCACTTGCAAATTCCAAGAACAGAGTGTTTCAAATCTGCCCTCTCTAAAGGAAGGTCCAAATCTGTGAGTTGAATACAAACAACACAAAGAAGTTACTGAGAATTCTTCTGTCTAGCACTATATGAGGAAATCCCGTTTCCAACGAAGGGCTCAAAGAGTGCCAATTATCCACTTGCAGACTTTACAAAGAGTGTATTTCCAAACTGCTCGATTAAAGAAAGGTTAAACTCTGTGAGTTGAACACACACATCACAAAGTGTTTTCTGAGAATGATTTTGTCTAGTTTTAATACGAAGATATGTCCTTTTCTATCATTGTCTTCGAAGCGTTTGAAATCTGCACTAGCAAATTCCACAAAAAGAGTGTTTCAAATCTGCTCTCTCTAAAGAAAGGTTCAACTCTGTGAGTTGAATACACACAACACAAAGGATTTACTGAGAATTCTTCTGTCTAGCAGTAAATGAAAAAATCCCGCTTCCAACGAATTCCTCAAAGGGGTCCAAGTAATCACTTGCAGACTTGACAGACAGAGACTCTCCAAACTGCTCTATGAAAAGAAAGGTGGAACTCTGTGAGCTGAACGCACACATAACAAAGCAGATTCTGAGAATGATTCTGTGTAGTTTTTACACGAAGATATTTCCATTTCAAAGATTAGCCTCAAATCGCTTGAAATCTCCACTTGCAAATTCCACAGAAAGAGTTTCTCTAAACTGCTCTGTCTAAAGGAAGGTTCATCTCCGTGACTTGAATACCACAACACAAAGAAGTGACTGAGAATTCTTCTGTCTAGCATTATATGAAGAAATCCCGTTTCCAACGAAGGCCTCAAAGAAGTCCAAATAAGCACCTGCAGACTTTACAAACAGAGTGTTTCCAAACTGCTCTATGAAAAGAAAGGTTAAACTCTGTGAGTTGAACGCGCACATCACAAAGTAGTTGTTGAGAATGATTCTGTGTAGTTTTTATACGAAGATATTCCCTTTTCTGCCATAGGCCTAGAAGCGCTTGAAATCTGCACTTGCAAATTCCAAAAACAGAGTGTGTGCAATCTGCTCTCTCTAAAGGAAGGTTCAAATCTGTGAGTTGAATACAAACAACAGAAAGAAGTTACTGAGAATTCTTCTGTCTAGCACTATATGAGGAAATCCCGTTTCCAACGAAGGGCTCAAAGAGGGCCAATTATCCACTTGCAGACTTACAAAGAGGGTATTTCCAAACTGCTCAATTAAGGAAAGGTTAAACTCTGTGAGTTGAACACACAGATCACAAAGTGTTTTCTGAGAATGATGTTGTCTAGTTTTAATACGCAGATATATCCTTTTCTATCATTGTCTTCGAAACGTTTGAAATCTGCACTAGCAAATTCCACAAAAAGAGTGTTTCAACTCTGCTCTCTCTAAAGAAAGGTTCAACTCTGTGAGTTGAATACACACAATACAAAGAAGTTACTGAGAATTCTTCTGTCTAGCGTTATATGAAGAAATCCCGTTTCCAACGAAGGTCGCAAAGAAGTCCAAATATCCACTTCCAGACTTTACAAATAGAGTGTTTCCAAACTGCTCTATGAAAAGAAAGGTTAAACTCTGTGAGTTGAAGGCACACATCACAAACCAGTTTCTGCGAATGACTCTGGGTAGTTTTAATATGAAGATATTTCCATGTCTAAGATTGGCGTCAAATCGCTTGAAATCTCCACTTGCAAATTCCACAAAGAGTGTTTCCAAACTGCTCTGAATAAAGGAAGGTTCAACTCAGTGAGTTGAATACACACAACACAAAGGATTTACTGAGAATTCTTCCGTCTAGCAGTAAGTGAAAAAATCCCGCTTCCAACGAAGGCCTCAAAGGGTCCAAGTATGCACTTGCAGACTTTACAGACAGAGTCTTTCCAAACTGCTGTATGAAAAGAAAGGCGAAAATCTGTCAGTTGAGTGCACACATAACAAAGCAGTTTCTGAGAATGATTCTGTGTAGTTTTTACACGAAGATATTTCCATTTCAAGGATTGGCCTCAAATCGCTTGAAATCTCCACTTGCAAATTCCACAGAAAATGTTTTTCAAAACTGCTCGGTCTAAAGGAAGTTTCAACTCTGTGACTTGAATACCACAACACAAAGAAGTGACTGAGAATTCTTCTGTCTAGCATTATATGAAGAAACCCCGTTTCCAACGAAGGCCTCAATGAAGTCCAAAAAAGCACTTGTAGGCTTTACAAACAGAGTGTTTCCAAACTGCTCTATGAAAAGAAAAGTTAAACTCTGTGAGTTGAACCCACACATCACAAAGTAGTTGTTGAGAATGAGTCTGTGTAGTTTTTATACGAAGATATTTCCTTTTCTGCCATAGGCCTAGAAGCGCTTGAAATCTGCACTTGCAAATGCCAAAAACAGGGTGTTTCAAATCTGCTCTCTTTAAAGGAAGGTTCAAATCTGTGAGTTGAATACAAACAACACAAAGAAGTTACTGAGAATTCTTCTATCTAGCATTATATGAGGAAATCCCATTTCCAACGAAGGGCTCCTAGAGGGCCAATTATCTACCTGCAGACTTTCAAAGATTGTATTTCCAAACTGCTCGATTAAAGAAAGGTTAAACTCTGTGAATTGAAGGCACACATCACAACCTAGTTTCTGCGAATGACTCTGTGTACTTTAAATACGAAGATATTTCCATGTCTAAGATTGGCGTGAAATCCCTTGAAATCTCCACTTGCAAATTCCACGAAAAGAGTGTTTCAAAACTGCTCTGAATAAAGGAAGGTTCAACTCTGTGAGTTGAATACACACAACACAAAGGATTTACTGAGAATTCTTCTGTTTAGCAGTAAATGAAAAAATCCCGCTTCCAACGAAGTTCTCAAAGGGGTCCAAGTAATCACTTGTAGACTTTACAGGCAGAGTCTTTCCAAACTGCTCTATGAAAAGAGAGTTAAACCCTGTGAATTGAAGGCACACATCACAATCTAGTTTTTGCGAATGACTCTGTGTACTTTTAATACGAAGATATTTCCATGTCTAAGATTCGCGTGAAATCGCTTGAAATCTCCACTTGCAAATTCCACAAAAAGAGTGTTTCAAAACTGCTCTGAATAAAGGAAGGTTCAACTCTGTGAGTTGAAAACACACAACACTAAGGATTTACTGAGAATTCTTCTGTCTAGCAGTAAATGAAAAAATCCCGCTTCAAAGGAAGTCCTCAAAGGGGTCCAAGTAATCACTTGCAGACTTTACAGACAGAGTCTTTCCAAACTGCTCTATGAAAAGAAAGGTGGAACTCTGTGAGCTGAACGCACACATAATGAAGCAGTTTCTGAGAATGATTCTGTGTAGTTTTTACACGAAGATATTTCCATTTCAAAGATTAGCCTCAAATCGCTTGAAATCTCCACTTGCAAATTCCACAGAAAGAGTTTTTCAAAACTGCTCTGTCTAAAGGAAGGTTCAACTCTGTGACTTGAATACATGCAACGCAAAGAAGTGACTGAGAATTCTTCTGTCTAGCATTATATGAAGAAATCCCGTTTCCAACGAAGGCCTCAAAGAAGTCCAAATAAGCACCTGCAGACTTTACAAACAGAGTGTTTCCAAACTGCTCTATGAAAAGAAAGGTTAAACTCTGTGAGTTGAACACACACATCACAAAGTAGTTGTTGAGAATGATTCTGTGTAGTTTTTATACGAAGATATTCCCTTTTCTGCCATAGGCCTAGAAGAGCTTGAAATCTGCACTTGCAAATTCCAAAAAAAGAGTGTTTGAAACATGCTCTCTCTAAACGAAGGTTCAAATCTGTGAGTTGAATACAAACAACACAAAGAAGTTACTGAGAATTCTTCTGTCTAGCATTATATGAGGAAATCCCGTTTACAACGAAGGGTTCAAAGAGGGCCAATTATCCACTTGCAGACTTTCAAAGATTGTATTTCCAAACTACTCGATTAAAGAAAGGTTAAACTCTGTGAGTTGAACACACACATCAGAAAGTGGTTTATGAGAATGATTTTTTCTAGTTTTAATACGAAGATATATCCTTTTCTATCACTGTCTTCGAAGCGTCTTAAATCTGCACTAGCAAATTCCACAAAAAGAGTGTTTCAAATCTGCTCTCTCTAAAGAAAGGTTCAACTCTGTGAGTTGAATACACACAACACAAAGAAGTTACTGAGAATTCTTCTGTCTAGCGTTATATGAAGAAATCCCGTTTCCAACGTAGGCCTCAAAGATGTCGAAATATCCACTTGCAGACTTTACAAATAGAGTGTTTCCAAACTGCTCTATGATAAGAAAGTTAAACTCTGTGAATTGAAGGCACACATCACAAACTAGTTTCTGCGAATGACTCTGTGTAGTTTTAATACGAAGATATTTCCATGTCTAAGATTGGCATCAAATCGCTTGAAGTCTCCACTTGCAAATTCCACGAAAAGAGTGTTTCAAAACTGCTCTGAATAAAGGAAGGTTCAACTCTGTGAGTTGAATAAACACAACACAAAGGATTTACTGAGAATTCTTCTGTCTAGCAGTAAATGAAAAAATCCCGCTTCAAACGAAGTCCACAAAGGGGTCCAAGTAATCACTTGCAGACTTTACTGACAGAGTCTTTCCAAACTGCTCTATGAAGAGAAAGGTGAAACTCTGTGAACTGAACGCACAGATAACAAAGCAGTTTCTGAGAATGATTCTGTGTAGTTTTTACACGAAGATATTTCCATTTCAAAGATTAGCCTCAAATCGCTTGAAATCTTCACTTGCAAATTCCACAGAAAGAGTTTATCAAAACTGCTCGGTCTAAAGGAAGTTTCAACTCTGTGACTTGAATACCACAACACAAAGAAGTGACTGAGAATTCTTCTGTCTAGCATTATATGAAGAAATCCCCTATCCAACGAAGGCCTCAAAGAAGTCCAAATAAGCACCTGCAGACTTTACAAACAGAGTGTTTCCAAACTGCTCTATGAAAAGAAAGGTTAAAGTCTGTGAGTTGAACGCGCACATCACAAAGTAGTTGTTGAGAATGATTCTGTGTTGTTTTTATACGAAGATATTTCCTTTTCTGCCATAGGCCTAGAAGCGCTTGAAATCTGCCCTTGCAAATTCCAAAAACAGAGTGTTTCAAATCTGCTCTATCTAAAGAAAGGTTCAAATCTGTGAGTTGAATACAAACAACACAAAGAAGTTACTGAGAATTCTTCTGTCTAGCACAAAATGAGGAAATCCCATTTCCAACGAAGGGCTCAAAGAGGGCCAATTATCCACTTGCAGACTTACAAAGAGTGTGTTTCCAAACTGCTCAATTAAAGAAAGGTTAAACTCTGTGAGTTGAACACACACATCACAAAGTGTTTTCTGAGAATGATTTTGTCTAGTTTTAATACGAAGATATAACCTTTTCTATCATTGTCTTCGAAGCGTTTGAAATCTGCACTAGCAAATTCCACAAAAAGAGTGTTTCAAATCTGCTCTCTCTAAAGAAAGGTTCAACTCTGTGAGTTGAATACACACAACACAAAGAAGTTACTCAGAATTCTTCTGTCTAGCGTTATATGAAGAAATCCCGTTTCCAATGAAGGCCTCAAAGAGGTAGAAATATCCACTTGCAGACTTTACAAATAGAGTGTTTCCAAACTGCTCTATGAAAAGCAAGTTAAACTCTGTGAATTGAAGGCACACATGACAATCTGGTTTCTGCGAATGACTCTGTGTACTTTTAAGACGAAGATATTTCCATGTCTAAGATTGGCGTGAAATCGCTTGAAATCTCCACTTGCAAATTCCACAAAAAGGGTGTTTCAAAACTGCTCTGAATAAAGGAAGGTTCCACTCTGTGAGTTGAATACACACAACACAAAGGATTTAATGAGAATTGTTCTGTCTAGCAGTAAATGAAAAAATCCCGCTTCCATCGAAGTCCTCAAAGGGGTCCAAGTAATCAATTGCAGACTTTACAGACAGAGACTTTCCAAACTGCTCTATGAAAAGAAAGGTGGAACTCTGTGAGCTGAACGCACACATAACAAAGCAGTTACTGAGAATGATTCTGTGTAGTTTTTACACGAAGATATTTCCATTTCAAAGATTAGCCTCAAATCGCTTGAAATCTCCACTTGCAAATTCCACAGAAAGAGTTTTTCAAAACTGCTCTGTCTAAAGGAAGGTTGAACTCTGTGACTTGAATACACACAACACAAAGAAGTGACTGAGAATTCTTCTGTCTAGCATTATGTGAAGAAATCCCGTTTCCAACGAAGGTCTCAATGAAGTCCAAAAAATGCACTTGCAGGCTTTACAAACAGAGTGTTTCCAAACTGCTCTATGAAAAGAAAGGTTAAACTCTGTGAGTTGAACGCACACATCACATAGTAGTTGTTGAGAATGATTCTGTGTAGTTTTTATAAGAAGATATTTCCTTTTCTGCCATAGGCCTAGAAGTGCTTGAAATCTGCAGTTGCAAATTCCAAAAACAGAGTGTTTCACATCTGCTCTCTCTAAAGGAAGGTTCAAATCTGTGAGTTGAATACAAACAACACTAAGAAGTTACTGAGAATTCTTCTGTCTAGCATTATATGAGGAAATCCCGTTTCCAACGAAGGGCTCATAGAGGGCCATATATCCACCTGCAGACTTACAAAGAGTGTATTTCCAAACTGCTCGATTAAAGAAAGGTTAAACTCTGTGAGTTGAACACACACATCAGAAAGTGGTTTTTGAGAATGATTTTGTCTAGTTTTTATACGAAGATATATCCTTTTCTATCACTGTCTTCGAAGCGTTTGAAATCTGCACTAGCAAATTCCACAAAAAGAGTGTTTCACCCCTGCTCCCTCTAAAGAAAGGTTCAACTCTGTGAGTTGAATACACACAACACAAAGAAGTTACTGAGAATTCTTCTGTCTAGCGTTATATGAAGAAATCCCGTTTCCAACGAAGGCCTCAAAGAGGTCCAAATATCCACTTGCGGACTTTACAAATAGAGTGTTTCCGAACTGCTCTATAAAAAGAAAGGTTAAACTCTGTGAGTTGAAGGCACACATCACAAATTTGTTTCTGCGAATGAGTCTGTGTTCTTTTAATACGAAGATATTTCCATGTGTAAGATTGGCGTCAAATCGCTTGAAATCTCCACTTGCAAATTCCTCAAAAAGAGCGTTTCAAAACTGCTCTGAATAAAGGAAGGTTCAACTCTGTGAATTGAATACACACAACAGAAAGGATTTACTGAGAATTCTTCTGTTAACAGTAAATGAGAAATCCTTCTTCCAACGAAGGCCTCAACGGGGTCTAACTAATCACTTGAAGACTTTACAGACAGATTCTTTCCAAACAGCTCTATGAAAAGAAAGGTGAAACTCTGTGAGGTGAACGCACACATAACAAAGCAGTTTCTGAGAATGATTCTGTGTAGTTTTTACACGAAGATATTTCCATTTCAAAGATTAGCCTCAAATCGCTTGAAATCTCCAATTGCAAATTCCACAGAAAGAGTTTTCCAAAACTGCTCTGTCTAAAGGAAGGTTCAACTCTGTGACTTGAATACCTCAACACAAAGAAGTGACTGAGAATTCTTCTGTCTAACATTATATGAAGAAATCCCGTTTCCAACGAAGGCCTCAAAGAAGTCCAAATAAGCACCTGCAGACTTTACAAACAGAGTGTTTCCAAACTGCTCTATGAAAAGAAAGGTTAAACTCTGTGAGTTGAACGCAGACATCACAAAGTAGTTGTTGAGAATGATTCTGTGTAGTTTTTATACGAAGATATTTCCTTTTCTGCCATAGGCCTATAAGCGCTTGAAATCTGCACTTGCAAATTCCAAAAACAGAGTGTTTCAAATCTGCTCTCTCTAAAGGAAGGTTCAAATCTGTGAGTTGAATACAAACAACACAAAGAAGTTACTGAGAATTCTTCTGTCTAGCATTATATGAGGAAATCCCGTTTCCAACGAAGGGCTCAAAGAGGGCCAATTATCCACCTGCAGACTTACAAAGATTGTGTTTCCAAACTGCTCGATTAAAGAACGTTTAAATTCTGTGAGTTGAACACACACATCACAAAGTGTTTTCTGAGAATGATTTTGTCTAGTTTTAATACGAAGATATATCCTTTTCTATCATTGTCTTCGAAGCGTTTGAAATCTGCACTACCAAATTACAGAAAAAGAGTGTATCAAATCTGCTCTCTCTAAAGAAAGGTTCAACCCTGTGAGTTGGATACACACATCACAAAGAAGTTACTGAGAATTCTTCTGTCTAGCGTTATATGAAGAAATCCCGTTTCCAATGAAGGCCTCAAAGAGTTCGAAATATCCACTTGAAGACTTTACAACTACAGTGTTTCCAAACTGCTCTATGAAAAGAAAGTTAAACTCTGTGAATTGAAGGCACACATCACAATCTAGTTTCTGCGAATGACTCTGTGTAGTTTTAATACGAAGATATTTCCATGTCTAAGAGTGGAGTGAAATCGCTTGAAATCTCCACTTGCAAATTCCACAAAAAGAGTGTTTCAAAACTGCTCTGAATAAAGGAAGGTTCAACTCTGTGAGTTGAATACACACAACACAAAGGATTTACCGAGAATTCTTCTGTATAGCAGTAAATGAAAAAACCCCGCTTCCAACGAAGTCCTCAAAGGGGTCCAAGTAATCACTTGCAGACTTTACAGACAGAGTCTTTCCAAACTGCTCTATGAAAAGAAAGGTGGAACTCTGTGAGCTGAACGCACACATAACAAAGCAGTTTCTGAGAATGATTCTGTGTAGTTTTTACACGAAGATATTTCCATTTCAAAGATTGGCCTCAAATCGCTTGAAATCTCCACTTGCAAATTCCACAGAAAGAGTTTTTCAAAACTGCTCTGTGTAAAGGAATGTTCAACTCTGTGACTTGAATACACACAACACAAAGAAGTGACTGAGAATTCTTCTGTTTAGCATTATATGAAGAAATCCCGTTTCCAACGAAGGCCTCAAAGAAGTCTAAATAAGCACCTGCAGACTTTACAAACTTAGTGTTTCCAAAGTGCTCTATGAAAAGAAAGCTTAAACTCTGTGAGTTGAACGTGCACGTCACAAAGTAGTTGTTGAGAATGATTCTGTGTAGTTTTTATACGAAGATATTTCCTTTTCTGCCATAGGCCTAGAAGCGCTTGAAATCTGCACTTGCAAATTCCACAAACAGAGTGTTTAAAATCTGCTCTCTCTAAAGGAAGGTTTAAATCTGTGAGTTGAATACAAACAACACAAAGAAGTTACTGAGAATTCTTCTGTCTAGCACTGTATGAGGAAATCCCGTTTCCAACGAAGGGCTCAAAGAGGGCCAATTATCCACTTGCAGACTTACAAAGAGTGTATTTCCAAACTGCTCAATTAAAGAAAGGTTAAACTCTGTGAGTTGAACACACTCATCACAAAGTGTTTTCTGAGAATGATTTTGTCTAGTTTTAATACGAAGATATATCCTTTTCTATCATTGTCTTCGAAGCGTTTGAAATCTGCACTAGCAAATTCCACAAAAAGAGTGTTTCAACTCTGCTCTCTCTAAAGAAAGGTTCAACGCTGTGAGTTGAATACACACAACACAAAGGATTTACTGAGAATTCTTCTGTCTAGCAGTAAGTGAAAAAATCAAGCTTCCAACGAATGCCTCCAAGGAATCCAAGTATTCACTTGCAGACTTTACAGACAGAGTCTTTCCAAACTGCTCAATGAAAAGAAAGGTGAAACTCTGTGAGTTGAACGCACACATAACAAAGCAGTTTCTGAGAATGATTCTGTGTAGTTTGTACACGAAGATATTTCCATTTCAAAGATTGGCCTCAAATCGCATGAAATCACCACTTGCAAATTCCACACAAAGAGTTTTTCAAAACTGCTCGGTCTAAAGGAAGTTTCAACTCTGTGACTTGAATACACACAACACAAAGAAGTGACTGAGAATTCTTCTGTCTAGCATTGTATGAAGAAATCCCGTTTCCAACGAAGGCCTCAAAGAAGTCCAAATAAGCACCTGCAGACTTTACAAACAGAGTGTTTCCAAACTGCTCTATGAAAAGAAAGGTTAAACTCTGTGAGTTGAACGCGTACATCACAAACCAGTTTCTGCGAATGACTCTGTGTAGTTTTAATACGAAGATATTTCCATGTCTAAGATTGGCGTCAAATCGCTTGAAATTTCCAGTTGCAAATTCCAAAAAAAGAGTGTTTCAAATCTGTTCTATCTAAAGGAAGGTTCAAATCATTGAGTTGAATTGAAACAACACAAAGAAGTTACTGAGAATTCTTCTCTCTAGCATTATATGAGTAAATCCCGTTTCCAACGAAGGGCTCAAAGAGGTCCAAATATCCACTTGCACACTTTAGAAATAGAGTGTTTCCAAACTGCTCCATGAAAAGAAAGGTTGGCCGGGCGCGGCGGCTCACGCCTGTAATCCCAGCACTTTGGGAGGCCGAGGCGGGCGGATCACGATGTCAGATGATCGAGACCATCCCGGCTAAAACGGTGAAACCCGTCTCTACTAAAAATACAAAAAATTAGCCGGGCGTAGTGGCGGGCGCCTGTAGTCCCAGCTACTTGGGAGGCTGAGGCAGGAGAGTGGCGAGACCCCGGGAGGTGGAGCTTGCAGTGAGCCGATATCCCACCACTGGACTCCAGCCTGGGCGACAGAGTGAGAGTCCGTCTCAAAAAAAAAAAGAAAAAAAAAAAGGATGGTTAAACTCTGTGAGTTCTAAGCACACATCACAAACTAGTGTCTGTGAATGACTCTGTGTAGTTTTAGTACGAAGATATTTCAATGTCTAAGATTGGCATCAAATCGCTTGAAATCTCCACTTGCAAATTCCACAAAAAGAGTGTTTCAAAACTGCTCTGAATAAAGGAAGGTTCAACTCTGTGACTTGAATACACACAACACAAAGAAGTTACTGAGAATTCTTCTGTCTAGCAATATATGAAGAAATCTCGTTTCCAACGAAGGCCTCAAAGATGTCCAAATATGCACATGCAGACTTTACAAACAGAGTGTTTCCAAACTGCTCTATGAAAAGAAAGGTTAAACTCTGTGAGTTGAACGCACACATCACAAAGTAGTTCTTGAGAATGATTCTGTGTGGTTTTTATACGAAGATATTTCCTGTTCTGCTGTAGGCCTACAAGCCCTTGAAATCTGCACGTGCAAATTCCAAAAAAAGGGTGTTTCAAATCTGCTCTCTCTAAAGGAATGTTCAAATCTGTGAGTTGAATACAAACAACACAAAGAAGTTACTGAGAATTCTTCTGTCTTGCATTATATGGGGAAATCCCGTTTCCAATGAAGGGCTCAAAGAGGGCCAATTATCCACTTGCAGACTTTAGAAAGAGAGTGTTTCCAAACTTCTCCATTAAAAGAAAGGTTAAACTCTGTGAGTTGAACGCACACATCACAAAGTGTTTTCTGAGAATGATTTTGTCTCGTTTTAATACGAAGATATATCCTTTTCTACCATTGTCCTCGAAGCGTTTGAAATCTGCACTAGCAAATTCCACAGAACGTGTTTCCAATCTGCTCTCTCTAAAGAAAGGTTCAACTCTGTGAGTTGAATACACACAACACAAAGAAATTACTGAGAATTCTTCTGTCTAGCGTTATATGACGAAATCCCATTTCCAACGAAGGCCTCAAAGAGGTCCAAATATCCACTTGCAGACTTTACAAACAGAGTGTTCCCAAACTGCTCTATGAACAGAAAGATAAAACTGTGTGAGTTGAACGCACACATCACAATGTAGTTCTTGAGAATGATTCTGTGTAGTTTTTATACTAAGATACTTCCTTTTCTGCCATAGGCCTAGAAGCACTTGAAATTTGCACGTGCAAATTCCAAAAAAAAGAGAGTTTCAAATCTGCTCTGTCTGAAGAAAGGCTCAAGTCTGTGAGTTGAATAAAAGCAACAGAAAGAAGTTAGAGAGAATTGTTCTGTCTAGGAGTATATGAAGAAATCCCCTTTCCAACGACGGGCTCATAGTGGTCCAAATATCTACTTGCAGAATTAACAGAGTGTTTCCTAAATGATCTATGAAAAGAAAGGTTAAACTCTGTGAGTTGAACGCACGCATCACTAAGTAGATTCTGAGAATGATTCTGTTTAGTTTTTATATGAAGATATTTACATTTCTACCATTGGCATCAAATCGCTTGAAATCTCCACTTGCAAAAGCCACGAAAAGAGAGTTTCTAAACTGCTCTGTCTAAAGAAAGGTTCAACTCTGGGAGTTGAATACACACAACGCAAAGAAGTTTGTGAGAATTCTTCTGTCTAGCATTACATGAAGAAAACCCGTTTCCAACGAAGACCTCAAAGAGGTCCAAATACCTCTTGCAGACATAACACACAGAGTGTTTCAAAACGGCTCTATGGAAAGCAAGGTTACACTCTGTGAGTTGAACGCACACATCACAAAGTAGTTTCTGAGAATGATTCAGTCTAGTTTTTACACGAAGATATTTCCATTT
>NC_000010.11:39497296-39570652 GCF_000001405.40 Homo sapiens | reverse complement strand
ATTCTTCTGTCTATCACTATATGAGGAAATCCCGTTTCCAACGAAGCGCTCAAAGAGGGCCAATTACCCACTAGCAGACTTTACAAAGAGTGTATTTCCAAACTGCTCGATTAAAGAAAGGTTAAGCTCTGTGAGTTGAACACACACATCACAAAGTGTTTTCTGAGAATGATTTTGTCTAGTTTTAATACGAAGATATATCCTTTTCTATCATTGTCTTCGAAGCGTTTGAAATCTGCACCAGCAAATTCCACAAAAAGAGTCTGTCAAATCTGCTCTCTCTAAAGAAAGGTTTAACTCTGTGAGTTGAATACACACAACACAAAGAATTTACTGAGAATTCTTCTTTCTAGCGTTATATGAAGAAATCCCGTTTCCAACGAAGGCCTCAAAGAGGTCCAAATATCCACTTGCAGACTTTACAAATAGAGTGTTTCCGAACTGCTCTATAAAAAGAAAGGTTAAACTCTGTGAGTTGAAGGCACACGTCACAAATTTGTTTCTGCGAATGAGTCTGTGTTCTTTTAATACGAAGATATTTCCATGTGTAAGATTGGCGTCAAATCGCTTGAAATCTCCACTTGCAAATTCCTCAAAAAGAGTGTTTCAAAACTGCTCTGAATAAAGGAAGGTTCAACTCTGTGAGTTGAATACACATAACACAAAGGATTTACTGAGAATTCTTCTGTCTAGCAGTAAGTGAAAAAATCAAGCTTCCAACGAAGGCCTCAAAGGGGTCCAAGTATTCACTTGCAGACTTTACAGACAGAGTCTTTCCAAACTGCTCTATGAAAAGAAAGGTGAAACTCTGTGAGTTGAATGCACACATAACAAAGCAGTTTCTGAGAATGATTCTGTGTAGTTTTTACACGAAGATATTTCCATTTCAAAGATTGGCCTCAAATCGCATGAAATCACCACTTGCAAATTCCACACAAAGAGTTTTTCAAAACTGCTCGGTCTAAAGGAAGTTTCAACTCTGTGACTTGAATACCACAGCACAAAGAAGTGACTGAGAATTCTTCTGTCTAGCATTATATGAAGAAATCCCGTTTCCAACGAAGGCCTCAAAGAAGTCCACATAAGCACCTGCAGACTTTACAAACAGAGTGTTTCCAAACTGCTCTATGAAAAGAAAGGTTAAACTCTGTGAGTTGAACACGCACATCACAAAGTAGTTTTTGAGAATGATTCTGTGTAGTTTTTATACGAAGATATTCCCTTTTCTGCCATAGGCCTAGAAGCGCTTGAAATCTGCACTTGCAAATTCCAAAAAAAGAGTGTTTGAAATCTGCTCTCTCTAAAGGAAGGTTCAAATCTGTGAGTTGAATACAAACAACACAAAGAAGTTACTGAGAATTCTTCTGTCTAGCACTATATGAGGAAATCCCGTTTCCAACGAAGGGCTCAAAGAGGGCCAATTATCCACTTGCAGAGTTTACAAAGAGTGTATTTCCAAACTGCTCAATTAAAGAAAGGTTAAACTCTGTGAGTTGAACACACACATCACAAAGTGTTTTCTGAGAATGATTTTGTCTAGTTTTAATATGAAGATATATCCTTTTCCATCATCGTCTTCGAAGCGTTTGAAATCTGCACTAGCAAATTCCACAAAAAGAGTGTTTCAAATCTGCTCTCTCTAAAGAAAGGTTCAACTCTGTGAGTTGAATACACACAACACAAAGAAGTTACTGAGAATTCTTCTGTCTAGCGTTATATGAAGAAATCCCGTTTCCAATGAAGGCCTCAAAGAGGTCGAAATATCCACTTGCAGACTTTACAAATAGAGTGTTTCCAAACTGCTCTATGAAAAGAAAGTTAAAGTCTGTGAATTGCAGGCACACATCACAATCTAGTTTCTGCGAATGACTCTGTGTACTTTAAATAAGAAGATATTTCCATGTCTAAGATTGGCGTGAAATCGCTTGAAATCTCCACTTGCAAATTCCACAAAAAGAGTGTTTCAAAACTGCTCTGAATAAAGGGAGGTTCAACTCTGTGAGTTGAATACACACAACACAAAGGATTTACTGAGAATTCTTCTGTATAGCAGTAAATTAAAAAATCCCGCTTCCAACGAAGTCATCAAAGGGGTCCAAGTAATCACTTGCATACTTTACAGACAGAGTCTTTCCAAACTGCTGTATGAAAAGAAAGGTGAAACTCTGTGAGTTGAACGCACACATAACAAAGCAGTTTGTGAGAATGATTCTGTGTAGTTTTTACACGAAGATAATTCCATTTCAAAGATTGGCCTCAAATTGCTTGAAACCTCCAGTTGCAAATTCCAAAGAAAGAGTTTTTCAAAACTACTCGGTCTAAAGGAAGTTTCAACTCTGTGACTTGAATACCACAACACAAAGAAGTGACTGAGAATTCTTCTGTCTAGCATTATATGAAGAAATCCCGTTTCCAACGAAGGCCTCAAAGAAGTACAAATAAGCACCTGCAGACTTTACAAACAGAGTGTTTCCAAACTGCTCTATGAAAAGAAAGGTTAAACTCTGTGAGTTGAACGCACACATCACAAAGTAGTTTTTGAGAATGATTCTGTGTAGTTTTTATACGAAGATATTCCCTTTTCTGCCATAGGCCTAGAAGCGCTTGAAATCTGCACTTGCAAATTCCAAGAACAGAGTGTTTCAAATCTGCTCTCTCTAAAGGAAGGTTCAAATCTGTGAGTTGAATACAAACAACACAAAGAAGTTACTGAGAATTCTTCTGTCTAGCACTATATGAGGAAATCCCGTTTCCAACGAAGGGCTCAAAGAGGGCCAATTATCCACTTGCAGACTTTACAAAGAGTGTATTTCCAAACTGCTCGATTAAAGAAAGGTTAAATTCTGTGAGTTGAACACACACATCACAAAGTGTTTTCTGAGAATGATTTTGTCTCGTTTTAATACGAAGATATATCCTTTTCTACCATTGTCCTCGAAGCGTTTGAAATCTGCACTAGCAAATTCCACAGAACGTGTTTCCAATCTGCTCTCTCTAAAGAAATGTTCAACTCTGTGAGTTGAATACACACAACACAAAGAAATTACTGAGAATTCTTCTGTCTAGCGTTATATGAAGAAATCCCGTTTCCAACGAAGGCCTCAAAGGGGTCCGAATATCCACTTGCAGACTTTACAAACAGAGTGTTCCCAAACTGCTCTATGAACAGAAAGATAAAACTGTGTGAGTTGAACGCACACATCACAAAGTATTTCTTGAGAATGATTCTGTGTAGTTGTTATACTAAGATACTTCCTTTTCTGCCATAGTCCTAGAAGCACTTGAAATTTGCACGTGCAAATTCCAAAAAGGAGAGTTTCAAATCTGCTCTGTCTGAAGAAAGTCTCAACTCTGTGAGTTGAATAAAAGCAACAGAAAGAAGTTAGAGAGAATTGTTCTGTCTAGGAGTATATGAAGAAATCTCCTTTCCAACGACGGGCTCATAGTGGTCCAAATATCTACTTGCAGAATTAACAGAGTGTTTCCTAAATGATCTATGAAAAGAAAGGTTAAACTTTGTGAGTTGAACGCACGCATCACTAATTAGATTCTGAGAATGATTCTGTTTAGTTTTTATATGAAGATATTTACATTTCTACCATTGGCATCAAATCGCTTGAAATCTCCACTTGCAAAAGCCACTAAAAGAGAGTTTCTAAACTGCTCTGTCTAAAGAAAGGTTCAACTCTGGGAGTTGAATACACACAACGCAAAGAAGTTTGTGAGAATTCTTCTGTCTAGCATTACATGAAGAAAACCCGTTTCCAACGAAGACCTCAAAGAGGTCCAAATACCTCTTGCAGAGATAACACACAGAGTGTTTCAAAACGGCTCTATGGAATGCAAGGTTACACTCTGTGAGTTGAACGCACACATCACAAAGTAGTTTCTGAGAATGATTCAGTCTAGTTTTTACACGAAGATATTTCCATTTCAAAGATTGACCTCAAATCGCTTGAAATCTCCTCTTACAAATTCCACAGAAAGAGTATTTCAAAACTACTCTGTCTAAAGGAAGGTTCTACTCTGTGAGTTGAATACACACAACACAAAGAAGCTACTGAGAATTCTTCTGTCTAGCATTATGTGAAGAAATCCCGTTTCCAACGAAGGCCTCAAAGAGATCGAACTATCCACTTGCAGACCTTACAAACAGAGTGTTTCCAAACTGCTCAATGAAAACAAAGGTGAAACTCTGTGAGTTGAACCCACACATCACAGACTAGTTTCTGCGAATGATTCTGTGTAGTTTTAATTTGAAGATATTTCCATTTCTAAGATTGGCCTCAAATCACTTTAAATCTCCACTTGCAAATTCCACAAAAAGAGTATTTCAAAACTGCTCTGAATAAAGGAAGGTTCAACTCTGTGAGTTGAATACACACAACACAAAGAAGTTACTGAGAATTCCTCTGTCTAGCAGTATATGAAGAAATCCCGTTTCCAACGAAGGCCTCTAAGATGTCCAAATATCCACTTGCAGACTTTACAGAGTCTTTCCAAACTGCTCTATGAAAAGAAAGGTTAACCTCTCTGAGTTGCACGGACACATCACAAAGTAGTTTCTCAGAATGATTCTGTCTAGTTATTATACGAAGTTATTTCCTTTTCTACCTTTGGCCTCAAATCGCTTGAAATCTCCACTTGCAAAAGCCAGGAATAGAGAGTTTCAAATCTGCTCTGCCTAAAGAAAGGTTCAATCCTGTGATTTGAATAAAAACAACAGAAAGAAGTTAGTGAGAATTCTTCTGTCTAGCTTTATATGCAGAAATCCCGTTTCCAACGAAGGGCTCCTAGAGGTCCAAATATCCTCCTGCAGAATTTACACACAGAGTGTTTCCTACCTGCTCTATGAAAAGAAAGGTTAAACTCTGTGAGTTGAACGCACACATCACAAAGTAGTTTCCGAGAATAATTCTGTGTAGTTTTTATATGAAGACATTTACATTTCTACATTTGGCACCAAATCGCTTGAAATCTCCACTTGCAAAAGCCACGAAAAGAGAGTTTCAAATCTGCTCTTTGTAAAGGAAGGTTCAACTGTGTGAGTTGAATACACAAAACACAAAAAGTTAGTGAGAATTCTTCTATCTAGCATTGCATGAAGAAAACCCGTTTCCAAAGAAGGCCTCAAAGAAGTCCAAATATCCACTTGCAGACTTTACAAACAGAGTGTTTCCAAACTGCTCTATGAAAAGAAAGGTTAAACTCTGTGAGTTGAACGCACACATCACAAAGTAGTTCTTGAGAATGATTCTGTCTAGTTTTCATACGAAGATATTTCCTTTTCTACCATAGGCCTAGAAGTGCTTGAAATCTGCTCTTGCAAACTCTACAAAAAGAGTGTTTCAAATCTGCTCTCTGTAAAGGAAGGTTCAACTCTCTGAGTTGAATACACACAACACAAAGAAGTTACGGAGAATACTTCTGTGTACCATTATATGAAGAAGTCCCGTATCCAATGAAGGGCTCAAAGAAGTCCTAGTATCCTCTTTCAGACTTTACAAAGAGAGTGTTTCCAAAGTGCTCAACTAAAAGAAAGGTTAAACTCTGTGAGTTGGATGTACACATCACAAAGTAGTTACTGAGAATGATTTTGTCTAATTTTAATACGAAGATATTTTTTTTTTACCATTCTCCTCGAAGCGCTTGAAATCTGCAGTAGCAAATCCCACAAAAGGCGTGTTTCTAATCTGCTCTCTTTAAGAGAAGGTTCATCTCTGTGAGATGAATGCACACAACACAAAGAAGTTACTGAGAATTCTTCTGTCTAGCATTATTTTAAGAAATCCAGTTTCCAACGAAGGCCTCAGAGAGATCCTAATATCCACCGGGAGACTTTACAAATAGAGTGTTTTCAAACTGCTCTATGAAAAGAAAGGTTAAACTCTGTGACTTGAAAGCACACATCACAAACTAGTTTCTGCGAATGATTCTGTGTAGTTTTAATATGAAGATATTTCCATATCTAAGATTGGCCTCAAATGGCTTGAAATCTCTACTTGCAAATTCCAGAAAAAGAGTGTTTCAAAACTGCTCTGAATAAAGATAGGTTCAACTCCGTGAGTTGAATACACAAAACACAAAGGAATTACTGAGAATTCTTCTGTGTAGCAGTATATGAAGAAATCCCATTTCCAACGAAGGCCTCTAAGAAGTCGAAATATCCACTTGCAGACTTTACAGACAGAGTCTTTCCAAACTACTCTACGAAAAGAAAAGTTAATCTCTGTGAGTTGAACGCACACCTCAGAAATTAGTTTCTGAGAATGATTCTGTCTAGTTTTCATACTAAGATATTTCCTTTTCTACCATTGGCCTCAAATCGCTTGAGGTCTCCACTTGCAAAAGCCATGAAAAGAGAGTTTCAAATGTGCTCTGTCTAAAGAAGGGTTCATCACGGTGAGTTGAACAAAAACAACAGAAAGAAGTTTGTGAGAACTCTTCTGTCTTGCATTATATGCAGAAATACCGTTTCCAACGAAGGGCTCATAGAGGTCCAAATATCCACCTGCAGAATTTACAAACAGAGTGTTTCCTAACTGGTCTATGAAAGGAAAGTTAAACTCTGTGAGTTGAAAGCACACATCACAAAGTAGTTTCTGAGAATCATTCTGTGTAGTTTTTATATGAAGATGTTTACATTTCTACCATTGGCAAAAATCGCTTGAAATCTCCACTTGCAAAAACCACGAAAAGACAGTATCAAATCTGCTCTGTCTAAAGAAAGGTTAAACTCTGTGAGTTGAATACACACAACACAAAGAAGTTAGTGAGAATTCTTCTGTGTAGCATTACATGAAGAAAACCCGCTTCCAAAGAAGGCCTCAAAGAGGTCCAAATATCCACTTGCAGACATTTCACACAGAGTGTTTCCAAACTGCTCTATGAAAAGAAAGGTTAAACTCTGTGAGTTGAACGCACATATCACAAAGTAGTTTCTGAGAATGATTCTGTCTAGATTTTACACGAAGATATTTCCATTTCAAAGATTGACCTCAAATCGCTTGAAATCTCCACTTGTAAATTCGACAGAAGGAGTTTTCCAAAACGGCTCTGTCTAAAGGAAAGTTCAACTCTGTCAGTTGAATACACACAACACAAAGAAGTTACCGAGAATTCTTCTGTCTAGCATTATATGAAGAAATCCCGTTTCCAACAAAGGCCTCAAAGAGGTCCAAATATCCACTTGCAGACATTACAAACAGAGTGTTTCCAAACTGCTCTATGAAAAGAAAGATTAAACTCTGTGAGTTGAACGCACACATCACAAACTAGTTTCAGCAAAAGAGGTAGTGTAGTTTTAATACGAAGATATTTCCATTTCTAAGATTGGCCTGAAATCGCTTGAAATCTCCACTTGCAAATTCCACAAAAAGAGTGTTTCAAAACTGCTCTGAATAAAGGAAAGTTCAACTCTGTGAGTTGAATAAACACAACACAAAGAAGTTACTGAGAATTCTTCTGTCTAGAATAATATGAAGAAATCCCGTTTCCAACGAAGGCCTCAAAGAACTCCAAATACCACTTGGAGACATTACAAACAGAGTGTTTCCAAACTGCTCTATGAAAAGAAAGGTTAAACTCTGTGAGATAAACGCACACATCACAAAGTAGTTTCTGAGAATGATTTTGTCTTGTTTTAATATGAAGATATTTCCTCTTCTACAATTGTCCTCAAAGCGCTTGAAATCTGCACTAGCAAATTCCACAAAAAGCGTGTTTCAAATCTGCTCTCTCTAAAGGAAGGTTCAACTCTGTGAGTTGAATGAACTCAATACAAAGAATCTACTGAGAATTCTTCTGTTTAGCATTATTTGAAGGAAGCCCGTTTCCAACGAGGGCTTCAAAGAGGTCCAATTATCCATTTGCAGAATTTACAAACAGAGTGTTTCCAAATTGCTCTATGAAAAGAAAGGTTAAACTCTGTGAGTTGAACGCACACAACACAAAGTAGTTTCTGAGAATGATTCTGTCTAGTTTTTATACAAAGATATTTCCTTTTCTACCATTGGCCTCAAATCGCTTTAAATCTCCACTTGCAAATACCACGAAAAGAGAGTTTCAAATCTGCTCTGTCTAAAGAAAGGTTGAATTCTGAGAGTTGAATACTCACAACACAAAGAAGTTACTGAGAATTCTTCTGTCTATCATTATATGCAGAAATACCGTTTCCAAAGAAGAGCCTTTAGAGGTCCAAATATCCACTTGCAGAGTTTACAAACAGAGTGTTTCCAAACTGCTCTTTTAAAAGAAAGGTTAAACTCTGTGAATTGAATGCACAAATCACAAAGTAGTTTCTGCGAATGATTTTGTCTATTTTTAATACGAAGATATTTCCTTTTCTACCATTGTACTCGAAGCGCTTGAAATCTGCAGTAGCAAATTCCACAAAAAGCGTGTTTCAAATCCGCTCTCTCTAAATCAAGTTTCAACTCTGTGACTTGAATACACACAACACAAAGAAGTTACTGAGAATTCTTCTGTCTAGCATTATATGGAGAAATCCCGTTTCCAACAAAGGGACCTAAGACGTCCAAATATCCACTTGCAGACTTTACAAAGTGAGTGTTTCCATACTGCTCAATTAAAAGAAAGTTTGAACTCTGTGAGTTGAACGCAAACATCACAAAGTAGTTTCTGAGAATGATTTTGTCTAGTTTTAATACGAAGATATTTCCTTTTCTACCATTGTCCTCGAAGCACTTGAAATCTGCAGTAGCAAATCCCACAAAAAGCGTGTTTCAAATACGCTGTCTGTAAAGCAAGGTTAAACTCTGTGAGTTGAATACACACAACACAAAGAAGTTATTGAGAATTCTTCTGTCTAGCATTATTTGAAGAAATCCCGATTCCAATGAAGGCCTCAAAGAGATCCAAATATCCACTTGCAGACTTTACAAATAGAGTGTTTCCAAACTGCTCTGTGAAAACAAAGGTTAAACTCTGTGAGTTGAACCCACACATCACAAACTAGTTTCTGCGAATGATTCTGTGTAGTTATAATTCGAAGATATTTCTATTTCTAAGATTGGCCTCAAATTGCTTTAAATCTCCACTTGCAAATTCCACAAGAAGAGTGTTTCAAAACTGCTCTGAATAAAGGAAGGTTCAACTGGGTGAGTTGAATACACACAACACAAAGAAGTTACTGAGAATTCTTCTGTCTAGCAGTATATGAAGAAATCCCGTTTCCAACGAAGGCCTCTAAGACGTCCAAATATCCACTTGCAGACTTTACAGACAGAGTCTTTCCAAACTGCTCTATGAAAAGAAAGGTTAAACACTGTGAGTTGAATGCACACATCGCAAAGTAGTTTCTGAGAATGATTCTGTCTAGTTTTTATACAAAGATATTTCCTTTTCTACCATTTTCCTCAAAGCGCTTGAAATCTCCACTTGCAAATACCACAAAAAGAGTGTTTCAAATATGCTCTCTCTAAAGAAAGGTTCAACTCTGTGAGTTGAATACACACAACACAAAGAAGTTACTGAGAATTCTTCTATCTAGCATTAAATGAGGAAATTCCGTTTCCAACGAAGGCCACAAAGAGGTCCAATTATCCACTTGCAGACTTTACAAACAGAGTGTTTCCAAACTGGTCTATGAAAAGAAAGGTTAAACTCTGTGAGTGGAACCCGCACATCACGAAGTAGTTTCTGCGGATAATTCTGTCTAGTTTTTATACGAATATATTTCCTTTTCTACCATTGGTCACAAATTGCTTGAAATCTCCACTTGCAAACTACACAAAAAGAGCGTTTCAAATCTGCTGTGACTAAAGGAAGGTTCCATTCTGTGACTTGAGTACGCACAACACAAAGAAGTTACTGAGAATTCTTCTGTCTAGCATTATATGAAAAAACTCCGTTTCCAACGGAGGCCTCAAAGAGGTCCAAATATCCACTTGCAGACTTTACAAACAGAGTGTTTCCAAACAGCTCTATGAAAAGAAAGGGTAAATTCTGTGAGTTGAACGCACACATCACAAATTAGTTTCTGAGAATGATTCTGTCTAGTTTTTATACGAAGATATTTCCATTTCTAAGATTGGCCTCAAATCGCTTGAAATCTCCACTTGGAAATTCCACAAACAGAGTGTTTCAACAATGCTCTGTCTAAAGGAGGGTTTAACTCTGTGAGTTGAATACACAAAAGACAAAGAAGTTACTGAGAATTCTTGTATGTAGCACTATATGAAGGAATCCCGTTTCCAACAAAGGCCTCAAAGAGGTCCAAATATCCACTTGGAGACGTTACAAATAGAGTTTTTCCAAACTGCTCTATGAAAAGAACGGTTAATTTCTATGAGATGAACGCAGACATCACAAAGTAGTTTCTGGGAATGATTCTGTCTAGATTCTATACGAAGAAATTTCGTTTTTTAACATTGTCCTCAATTTGCTTGAAATCTCCATCTGAAAATTCCACAAAAAGAGAGTTTCATATCTGCTGTGACTAAAGGAAGGTTCAATTCTGTGTGTTGAATACACACAACAGAAAGAATTTACTGAGAATTCTTCTGTCTAGCATTAAATGAAGAAATCCCGTTTCCAACGAAGGCCTCAAAGAGGTCCAAATATCCACTTGCAGACTTTACAAACAGAATGTTTCCAAACTGCTCTATGAAAAGAAAGGCTAAACTCTGTGATTTGAATGCACACATCACAAAGTAGTTTCTGAGAATGATTCTGTCTAGTTTTTATACGAAGATATGTCCTTTTCTACCATTGGCCTCTAATCGCTGGAAATCTCCACTTGCAAAAGCCACGAAAAGAGAGTTTCCAATCTGCTCTGTCTAAATAAAGTTCAACTCTGTGAGTTGAATACACACAACACAAAGAAGTTACTGAGAATTCTTCTGTCTAGTATTATATGAAGAAGTCCCGTTTCCAACGAAGGGCTCAAAGAGGTCTAAATATCCACTTGCAGATTTTACAAACAGAGTGTTTCCAAACTGCTCAATTAAAAGACAGGTTAAACTCTGTGAGTTGAACGTACACATCACAAAGTAGTTTCTGAGAATGATTCTGTCTAGTTTTTATAGGAAGATATTTCCTTTTCTACCGTTGGCCTCAAAGAGCTTGAAAACTCCAGCTGCAAGTTCCACAAAAAGAGAGTTTCGAATCTGCTGTGTCTAAAGGAAGGTTCAACTCTGTGAGTTGAATACACATAACACAAAGAACTTACTGAGCATTCTTCTGTCTAGCATTATATGAAGAAATCCCGTTTCCAACGAAGGCCTCTAAGAGGTCCAAATATCCACTTGCAGACTTTACAAATAGAGTGTTTCCAAACTGCTCTATGATAAGAAAGTTTAACTCAGTGAGTTGAACGCACACATCACAAAGCAGTTTCTGAGAATGATTCTGTCTAGTTTTTATACGAAGATATTTCCATTTCTAATATGGGCCCCAAATCGCTTGAAATCTCCACTTGCAAAAGCCACAAAAAAATTTTTCAAAATTGCTCTGTGTAAAGGAAGGTTAAACTCTGTGAGTTCAATACAAACAACACAAAGAAGTTACCGAGAATTCTTCTGTCTATAATTATATGAAGAAATCCCGTTTCCAACGAAGGCCTCAAAGAGGTCCAAATATCCACTTGCAGAGCTTACAAATAGAGTGTTTCCAAACTTCTCTATGAAAAGAAATGTTGAACTCTGTGAGTTGAACGTACACATCGCAAAATAGATTCTGGGAGTGATTCTGTCTAGTTTTTATACGAAGATATTTCCTTTTCTACCATTGGCCTCAAATCCCTTGAATTCTCCACTTGCAAAATCAAAGAAAACAGACTTTCAAAAGTGCTCTGTCTAAAGAAAGGTTCAACTCTGTGAGTTGAATACACACAACCCAAAGAAGTTACTGAGAATTCATCTGTCTAGCATTATAAGAAGAAATCCCGTTCCCAACGAAAGCCTCAAAGGCTTCCAAATATCCACTTGCAGACTTTACAAACAGATTGTTTCCAATCTGCTCTATGAAAAGAAAGGTTAAACTCTGAGCGTTGAACGCGCACATCGCAAAGGAGTTTCTGGGAATGATTCTGTCTAGTTTTTATACGAAAATATTTCCTTTTCTACCATTTTCCTCAAAGCGCTTCAAATCTCCACCTGCAAATTCCACAAAAAGAGAGTTTCGAATCTGCTGTGTCTAAAGTAAGGTTCAACTCTGTGAGTTGAGTACACACAACACATAGAAGTTACTGACAATTTTTCTGTCTAGCATTATATGAAGAAATCCCGTTTCCAACGAAGACCTCAAATAGGTCCAAATATCCACTTGCAGACTTTACAAAGAGAGAGTTTCCCAACTGCTCTATGAAAAGAAAGGTTAAACTCTTTGAGTTGAACGCACACATCACAAAATAGTTTCTGTGAATGATTCTGTCTAGTTTTTATATGAAAATATTTCGATTTCTAAGATTGGCCTCAAATCGCTTGAAATCTCCTCTTGCAAATTTAACAAAAAGAGAGTTTCAAAACTGCTCTGTATGAAGGATGGTTCAACTCTGTGAGTTAAATACACACAACACAAAGAAGTTACTGAGAATTCTTCTGTCTAGCATTATATGAAGAAATCCCTTTTCCAACGAAGGCCTCAAAGAGGTCCAAATATCCACTTGCAGAATTTACGAACAGAGTGTTTCCAAACTGTTCTATGAAAAGAACGGTTAAACTCTGGAGTTCAATGCGCACATTGCAAAGTAGTTTCTGAGAATGATTCTGTCTAGTTTTTATACGAAGATATTTCCTTTTCCACCATTGGCCTCAAATCGCTTGAAATCTCCACTTTCAAAAGCCACGAAAAGAGAGTTTCAAATCTGCTCTGTCTTAAGAAAGTTTCAACTCTGTGAGTTGAATACACACAACACAAAGAAGTTACTGAGAAATCTTCTGTCTAGCATTATATGAAGCAATCCCGTTTCTAACGGAGGCCTGAAAGTGGTCCAAGTATCCACTTGCAGACTTTACAAACAAAGTGTTTCCAAACTGTTCTATGAAAAGAACGTTCAAACTCTGTGAGTTGAACGCACACATCGCAAAGTAGTTTCTGAGAATGATTCTGTCTAGTTTTTATATGAAGATATGTCCTTTTCTACCATTGGCCTCAAATCGCTTGAAATCTCAACCTGATAATTCCACAAAAAGAGAGTTTCAAATCTGCTGTGTCTAAAGGAAGGTTCAACTCTGTGAGTTGAATACCCAGAACACAAAGAAGTTACTGAGAATTCTTCTGTCTAGCATTATATGAAGAAATCTCGTTTCCTGCGAAAGCCTCAAAGATGTCCAAATATTCACTTCCTGACTTTACAAACAGGGTGTTTCCGAACTGGTCTATGAAAAGAAATGTTGAACTCTGTGAGTTGAATGCCCACATCACAAAGTAGTTTCTGAGAACGATTTTGTCTTGTTTGTATACGAAGATATTTCCATTTCTACCATTGGTCTCAAATCGCTTGAAATCTCCACCTGCAAAATCCACAGAAAGAGAGTTTCAAATCTGGTCTGTCTAAAGAAAGGTTCAACTCTGTGAGTTGAATACACACAACACAAAGAAGTTACTGAGAATTCTTCTGTCTAGCATTATATGAAGATATCTCGTTTCCAACGAGGGCCTCAAAGAGGTCCAAATATCCACTTGCAGACTTTACAAACAGACTGTTTCCAAACTGCTCTAAGAAAAGAAAGGTTAAACTCTGTGAGTTGAATGCACACATCACAAAGCAGTTTCTGAGAATGATTCTGTCTAGTTTTTATACGAAGATATGTCCTTTTCTACCATTGGCCTCAAATCGCTTGAAATCTCCACCTGAAAATTCCACAAGAAGAGAGTTTCAAATCTGCTGTGTCTAAAGGAATGTTCAACTCTGTGAGTTGAATACTCACAACACAAAGAAGTTACTGAGAATTCTTCTGTCTAGCATTATATGAAGAAAACCCGTTTCCAACGAAGGCCTCAAAGAGGTCCAAATATCCACTTGCAGACTTTACAAACAGAGTGTTTCCAAACTTATCTATGAAAAGAAAAGTTAAACTCTGTGAGTTGAATGCACACATCACAAAGTAGTTTCTGAGAATCATTCTGTCTAATTTTTATACGAAGGTATTTCCTTTTCTACCATTAGCATCAAATCGCTTCAAATCTGCACTTGCAAATTCCACAAAAAGAGTATTTCAAATCAGCTCTCTCTAAAGGAAGTTTCAACTCTGTGAGTTGAATACACACAACACAAAGAAGTTACTGAGAATTCTTCTATCTATCATTATATGAAGAAATCCCGTTTCCAACGAAGGCCTCAAAGAGGTCCAAATATCCACTTGCAGACTTTACAATCAGAGTGTTTCCAAACTGCTCTATGAAAAGAAAGGTTAAACTCTGTGAGTTGAACGCACACATCACAAAGTAGTTTTTGAGAATGATTCTGTCTAGGTTTTATACAAAGATATTTCCGTTTCTAAGATTGGCCTCAAATCGCTTGAAATCCCCACTTGCAATTTCCACAAAAAAAGTGTTTCAAAACTGGTCTATCAAAAGAAAAGTTAAACTCTGTGAGTTGAATACACACATCACAAAGAACTTTCATAACATTCTTCTGTCTAGCTTTATATGAAGAAATCCCGTTTCCAACGAAGGCCTCAAAAAGTTCCAGATATCCACTTACAGCTTCTACAAAAGGAGTGTTTCAAAACAGCTGTATCAAAAGGAATGTTGAACTGTGTGAGTTGAATGAAAACATCCCAAAGTAATTTTTGAGAATGAATCTATCTGGTTTTTTTATGAAGATAATTGCTTTTCTACCATAGGACTCAGATCGCTTTATATATCCACTTGCAAATTCCACAAAAGGAGGGTTTCAAAACTTCTCTATCGAAAGGAAAGTCTAACTTTTTGAGTTGAGTGCAGACATCACAAGGAAGTTTCTGAGAATACTTCTCTCTGCTTTTTATGTGAAGATACTCGCGTTTCCAAAGAAGGCCTCAAAGCCCTCCAAACATCCTCTTGCAGACTTTACAAACAGGGTTTCAAAACTGCTCTGTCAAAGGAAAGTTTAAACCCTCTGAGTAGAACGAACACATCACCAAGTAGTTTCTGAGAATGATTCTGTGTATTTTTTATATGAAGATATTTCCTTTTCTATCATAGCCCACAAAGCGTTCTTAATATCCACTTGCAAACCCCACAAAAAGAGTGTTTCGAAACTGTTCTATCAAAAGGAAGGTTCACCTCTGTGAGTTGAGTACAGACATCACAAAGAAGATTCTGGGGAAACCTCTGTCTCCTTTTTATGTGAAGATATTCCCGTTTCCAACAAAATCTCAAAGCACTCCAAATATCCAGATGCAGACTTTACAAGCAGAGTGATTCAAAACTGCTCTTTCAAAAGAAAAGTTAAACTTTCTGAGTTGAATGCACACATCACAAATAGTTTCTGAAAAATCTTCTGTCTAGTTTTTATGTGAAGATCTTTCCTTTTCTACCATCGGCCTCAAAGCGCTTTAATCTCCACTTGCAAATTCAACAAAACGAGTGTTTCAAAACTGCCCTATAAAAAGAGAGGCTAAACTCAGTGAGTTGAATGCAGACATCACAAAATAGTTTCTGAGAATGATTCTGTCTAGTTTTTATATGAAGATATTTCCATTTCTACGATAGGCCTAAATGCGCCCTTAATATCCAATTGGAAATTCTAGAAATAGGGTGTTTCAAATCTGCTCTATCAAAAAGGAAGGCTCATCACTGTGATTTGAATGCACACATCACAAAGAAGTTTCTGAGAATTGTTCTGTCTAGTTTTATTTGAAGAATTCCTGTTTCCAACGAATGCCTCAAAGAAGTCCAAATATCCACTTGCAGATTCTGCAAAAAGAGTGTGTCAAAACTGCTCTATCAAGAGGAATGTTCAAATCTGTGAGTTGAATGCAAACATCACAAAGTAGTTTCTGATAATGCTTCGGTCTAGTTTTTTGTGAAGATATTTCCTTTTCTACCGTAGGCCTCAAAGCACTCTAAATACACGCTTGCAAATTCTACAAATAGAATGTTTCAAAACTGCTCTATCAAAAGAAACGTTAAAATCAGTGAGTTGAAAGCACACATCACAAAGTAGTTTCTGAGAATGAGTCTGTCTAGATTTTATAGGAAAATATTTCCTGTTCTACCATAGGCGTCAAAGCGTCCTAAATATCCACTTGGAAATTCTACAGAAAGAATGTTTCAAAACTGTTCTATTGAAAGGAACTTTCAACTCTGTGAGTTGAATGCACACATCAAAAGAAGTTTCTGAGAATTCTGTCTAGTTTATTTATCAAGAAATTTCCTGTTCCAACGAAGGCCTCAAAGAGGTCCAAATATCCACCTGTAAATACTACAAAAAGAGTGTTAAAAATCTGCTCTATCAAAAGGAATGTTCAACTCTGTGAGTTGATTGCAAACATCACAATGTGGTTTCTGCGAATGATTCTGTGTAGTTTTTCTACCAGGATATTTCCTTCTCTACCGTAGGCCCCAAAGTGGCCCAACTACGTCACAAAGTAGTTTCTGAGAATGATTCTGTCTAGTTTTATAAGAAGATATTTCCTTTTCTACCATAAGATTCAAAGCGCTCTAAATATCCACTAGGAAACCGTAAAAAAAGAGTGTTTCAAATCTGCTCTAGCAAAAGGAAAGTTCATCTCTGTGAGTTGAATGCACACATCACAAAGATGTTTCTGAGAATTCTTCTGTCTAGTTTTATATAAAGAAATCCCGTTTCCAACGAAGGCCTCAAAGACGTCCAAATATCCACTTGCAGATTCTACAAAAAGAGGGTTTCAAATCTGCACTATCAAGGGGAATGTTCAACTCTGTGAGTTGAATGCAAATATCACAAATTGGTTTCTGAGAATGCTTCTGTCTAGTTTTTATGTGAAGATATTTCCTTTATCACCATAGGTCTCCAAGTGCTCCAAATGTCCACATGTAGATTCTACAAAAAGAGTGTTTCAAAACCTCTCTATCAAAAGAAAGGTTCAACTCTGTGGGTTGAATGCACGCATCACAAAGTGGTTTCTGGGAATGATTCTGTCTAGTTTTTATATGAAGATATTTCCTCTTCTACCATAGGATTCAAAGCGCTCTAAATATCCACTTGGAAATTCTACAAAAAGAGTGTTTCAAATCTGCTATATCAAAAAGAATGTTCATATCTGTGAGTTGAATGCACATATCACAAAGAAGTTTCTGAGAATTCTTCCATCTAGTTTTATATGAGGAGATCCCGTTTCCAACGAAGGCCTCAAAGAGTTCCATATATACAATTGCAGATTCTACAAAAGAGTGTTTCAAAACCGCTCTATCAAGAGGAATGTTGAACTCTGTGAGTTGAATGCAAACATCACAAAGTAGTTTCTGAGAATGCTTCTATCTAGTTTTTATGTGAAGATATTTACTACTCTAACATAGGCCACAAAGCGCTCCAAATACACACTTGCAAATTCTACAAAAAGGGTGTTTCAAAACTGCTCTATCAAAAGAAAAGTTAAACTCAGTGAGTTGAACACGCACGTCACCATGTGGTTTGTGAGAATAATTCTGTCTACTTTTTATATGAAGATATTTCCTTTTCTACCATAGGCCTCAAGGCGCCCTAAATATCCACTTGGACATTCTACAATAAAAATGTTTCAAAACTGCTTTATTGAAAGGAACGTTCAACTCTGTGAGTTGAATGCACACATCACAAGGAATTTCTGAGAATTCTGACTAGATTTTCATGAAGAAATGCCCGGTTCCAATGAAGGCCTCAAAGTGGTCCATATATGCTCTTCCAGATCTACAAAAAGAGTGTTACAAAACTGCTCTATCAAAAGGAATGTTCATGTCTGTGAGCTGAATGCAAACATCACAATGTGGTATCTGAGAAAGCTTCTGTGTAGTTTTCCTACGAAGATATTTTCTTTTCTACCATTGGCCCCAAAGCGCTCTAAATATCCACTTGCAAGTACTACAAAAAGGGTGTTTCAAAACTGCTCTATCAAAAGGAAGGTTCAACTCTGTGAGTTGAGTGCAGACATCACAAGGAAATTTCTGAGAATACTTCTGTCTGCTTTTTATGTGAAGATTCTCCCGTTTCCAGGAAGGCCTCAAAGCCCTCCAAATATCCCCTTGCAGACTTTACATCAGAGGGTTTCAAAACTGCTCTATCAAAAGAAAGGTTAAACTCTGTGACTTGAACGCACACATCACAAAATAGTCTCTGAGAATGATTCTGTCTAGTTTTTATATGAAGATATTTCCTTTTGTAAAATAGGCCTCAAAGCGCTCTAAATATCGAGTTGCAAACACTACAAAAAGAGTGTTTCAAACCTGCTCTATCAAAGGGAACGCTCACCTCTGTGAGTTGAGTACAGACATCACAAATAAGTTTCTGAGAATACTTCTGTCTACTTTTCATGTGAAGATATTCCCGTTTCCAAAGAAAACCTCAAAGCGCTCAAAATATCCAGATGCAGACTTTACAAACAGAATGTTTCAAAACTGCTCTATCAAAGAAAGGTTAAACTCTGTGAGTCAAAGGCACACATCACAAGGTAGTTTCTGGGAATGATTCTGTCTAGTTTTTATATGAAGATATTTCCTTTTCTACCATAGAATTCAAAGCGCTCTAAATATCCACTTGGAAATTCTACAAAAAGAGTGTTTCAAATCTGCTCTATCAAAAGGAAGATTCAACACTGTGAGTTGAATGCACACGTCACAAAGAATTTTCTGAGAATTCTTCTGTCTACTTTTATATAAAGAAACCCTGTTTCCAGCGAAGGCCTCAAAGAGGACCAAATACCCACCAGCAGATTCTACAAACCGAGTGTTTCAAAACTGCTCTATCAAGAGGAATGTTGAACTCTGGGAGTTGAATGCAAACATCACAAAGTAGTTTCTGAGAATGCTTCTGTCTAGTTTTTATGTGAAGATGTTTTCTTTTCTACCATGGGCCTCAAAGTGCTCTAAATTCACACTTGCAAATTCTACAAATAGAGTGTTTCAAAACTGCTCTTTCAAAAGAAAGGTTATACTCAGTGAGTTGAAAGTGCACATCACAAAGTGGTTTCTGAGAATATTTCTGTCTTGTTTTTAATGAAGATATTTCCTTTTCTATCATAGGCCTCAAAGCGCCCTTAGTACCCACTTGAAAATTCTACAAAAAGAGTGTTTCAAAACTGCTCTTTCAAAAGAAAGGTTATACTCAGTGAGTTGAAAGTGCACATCACAAAGTGGTTTCTGAGAATATTTCTGTCTTGTTTTTAATGAAGATATTTCCTTTTCTATCATAGGCCTCAAAGCGCCCTTAGTACCCACTTGAAAATTCTACAAAAAGAGTGTTTCAAAACTGCTCTATCGAAAGGAACGTTCAACTCTGTGAATTGAATGCACACATCACAAAGAAGTTTCTGAGAATTCTTCTGTCTAGTTTTTATATGAAGAAATTCCCGGTTCCAATGAAGGCCTCAAAGAGGCCCCAATATCCACTTGCAGATTTTTCAAAAAGAATGTTACAAAACTGCTCTATCAAAAGGAATGTTCAAGTCTGTGGGTTGAGTGCAGACATCACAAGGATGTTTCTGAGAATACTTCTGTCTAATTTTTATGTGAAGATACTCCAGTTTCCAAAGAAGGCCTCAAAGCACTCCAAATATTCAATTGCAGACTTTACAAACAGAGTGTTTCAAAACTGCTCTATCCAAAGAAAGTTTAAAGTCTGTGAGTTTAACGCACACATCACAAACTAGTTTCTGGGAATGATTCTGTCTAGTTTTTATATGAAGATATTTCCTTTTCTACCACAGGATTCAAAGCGCTCTAAATATCCACTTGGAAATTCTACAAAAAGAGTGTTTGAAATCTGCTCTATCAAAAGGAAGTTTCAATTCTGTCAGTTGAATGCACACATCCAAAAGAAGTTTCTGAGAAATTGTCAGTCTAGTTTTATATGAAGAAATCCCGTTTCCAACGAAGGCCTCAAAGAGGTCGAAGTATCCACTTACAGATACTACAAAAAGAGTGTTTAAAAACTGCTCTGTCAAGAGGAATGTTCAATTCTGTGAGTTAAAATGTAAACATCAGAAAGTAGCTTCTGACAATGCTTCTGTCTAGTTTTTCTGTGAAGATATTTCCTTTTCTACCATAGGCCTAAAAGCGCTCTAAATTCACACTTGCAAATTCTACAAAAACAGTGTTTCAAAACAGCTCTTTCAAAAGAAAGGTTAAAGTCAGTGAGTTGAACGTGCACATCACAAATTAGTTTCTGAGAATGATTCTGTCTAGTTTTTATATGAAGATATTTTATTTTCTAACATAGGCCTCTAAGCGTCCTAAATATCCACTTGGAAATTCTACAAAAAGAGTGTTTCAAAACTGCTCTATTGAAAGGAAAGTTCAACTCTGTGAGTTGAATGCACACATCACAAAAAAGTTTCTGAGAATTATTCTGTCTTGTTTTTTTATGAAGAAATTCTTGGTTCCAACGAAGTCCTCAAAGAGGTCCAAATATCCACTTGCAGATTCTACAAAAAGAGTGTTTCAAAACTGCTCTATCAAAAGGATGTTCAACTCTGTGAGTTGAATGCAAACATCACAAAGTAGTTTCTGAGAATGCTTCCATGTATTTTTTCTATGAAGATATTTCCTTTTCTACCATAGGCCCCAAAGTGCTCTAAATATCCACTTTCAAATTCTACAAAAAGAGTGCTTCAAAACTGCTCTATTAAAAGGAAGGTTCAACTCTGTGAGTTGAGTGCAGACGTCACAAGGAAGTTTCTGAGAATACTTCTGTCTACTTTTTATGTGAAGGTACTCCCGTTTCCAAAGAAGTCCTCAAAGTGCTCCAAATATCCACTTGCAGAATTTACAATCAGAGTTTTCCAAAACTGCTCTATCAAGAGGAATGTTCAACTGTGTGAGTTAAAAGCAAACATCACAAAGTAGTTTCTGAGAATGCTTCTATCTAGTTTTTATTTGAAGATATTTCCTTTTCTATCACAGGCCTCAAAGCGCTCTAAATACTCACTTGCAAATTCTACAAAAAGAGTGTTACAAACTGCTCTATCAAAAGAAAGTTTAAACTCAGTGATTTGAATGCACACGTCACAAAGTAGTTTCTGAGAATGCTTCTGTGTAGTTTTTCTACGAACATATTTCCTTTTCTACCACAGGCCCCAAAGCGCTCTAAATATCCACTTGAAAATTATACAAAAAGAGTGTTTCAAAACTGCTCTATCAAAAGGAAGTTTCATCTCTGTGAGTTGAGTACAGACATCACAAATAAGATTCTGAGAATACTTCTGTCTACTTTTTATGTGAAGATATTCCAGTTTCCAAAGAAAACCTCAAAGCGATCCAAATATCCAGATGCAGACTTTACAAACAGAGTGTTTCAAAACTGCTCTATCAAAAAAAAGGTTAGACTCTGTGAGTTGAACGCACACATCACAAAGTAGTTTCTGGGAGTGATTCTGTCTAGTTTTTATATGAAGATATTTCCCTTTCTACCATAGGATTCAAAGCACTCTAAATATCCACTTGGAAATTCTTCAAAAAGAGTGTTTCCAAATCTGCTGTATCAAAAGGAAGATTCTACTCTGTGAGTTGAACTCACACATCACAAAGAAGTTTCTGAGAATTCTTCTGTCTAGTTTTATTTGAAGAAATCCCATTTCCAACAAAGGCCTCAAAGAGTTCCAAATATCCACTTATGGATTCTACAAAAAGAGTGTTTCAAAAATGCTCTATCAAGAGCAGTGTTCAACTCTGTCAGTTCTATGCAAACATCACAAAGTAGTTTCTGGGAATGCTTCTGTCTAGTTTTTTATGTGAAGATGTTTCCTTTTCTACCATAGGCCTCAAAGTGCTCTAAATACACACTAGCAAATTCTACAAAAAGAGTGTTTCAAAACTGCCCTATCAAAAGTAAGGTTAAACTCAGTGAGTTAAACGCGCCCATCACAAAGTAGTTTCTGAGAATGATTCTGTCTAGTTTTTATATGAAGATATTTCCTTTTCCACCATAGGCCTCTAAGCGCCCTAATTATGTACTTGGAAGTTCTACAGAAAGAGTGTTTCAAAAGTGCTCTATAGAAAGGAACGTTCAACTCTGTGAATTGAATGCGCATATCACAAAGAAGTTTCTGAGATTTCTTCTGTATAGTTTTTTTTGAACAAATTCCCGGTTCCAATGAAGGCCTAAAAGAGGTCCAAATATCCACTCCCAGATTCTACAAGAAGAGTGTTACAAAACTGCTCTATCAAAAGGAATGTTCAACTCTGTGAGTTGAATGCAAACATCACAAATTTGTTTCTGAGAATGCTTCTGTGTTTTTTTTCTAGGAAGATATTTCCTTTTCTACTGTTCGCCCCAAGGCGCTCTAAATATCCACCTGAAAATTCTACAAAAAGAATGTTCAAAAACTGCTTTATCAAAAGTAAGGTTCAACTCTGTGAGTTGACTGCAGACATCACAAAGAAGTTTCTGAGAATATTTCTGTCTACTTTTTATGTGAAGATATTCCCGTTTCCAAAGAAAACCACAAAGCGCTCCAAATATAAAGATGCAGACTTACAAACAGAGTGTTTAAAAACTGCTATATACAAGGAAAGGTTAAAATCTGTGAGTTGAACGCACACTTCACAAAGAAGTCTCTGTGAATGCTTCTGTGTAGTTTTTATGTGAAGATATCCCGTTTCCAATGAAGGCCTCAAAGTGTTCCAAATATTCACATGCAAACTCTGCAAAAAGAGTGTTTCAAAACTGCTGTAGGAAAATTAGCGTTCAACTCTGTGAGTTGAAGGCAAACGTCACAAAGAAGTTTCTGAGAATACTTTTGTGTAGTTTTTATGTGAAGATATTACCTTTTTCACCATAGCCCTCAGAGCACTCTAAATGCCAACTTGCAGATTCTACAAAAAGAGTGTCTCAAAACTGCTCTATCAAAAGAAAGATTCAACTCTGTGAGTTGAATGCACTCATCACAAAGAAGTTTCTAGTAATGCTTCTGTCTAGCTTTTATGGGAAGATATTTCTTTTTTCACCATAGGCCTCAAAGTGCTCCAAATGTCCACTTGCAGATTCTACAAAAAGAGTGTTTCAAAACTGGTCTATCAAAAGAAAGGATCATCTCTGTAACTTGAATGCACACATCACAAAGAAGTTTCTGAGAATGCTTCTGTCTAGTTTTTATGTGAAGATATCCCATTTCCAACGAAGGCCTCTAAGCTTTCCAAATATACAGTGGCAAATTCAGCAAAAAGAGTGTTTCATAGCTGCTCTATGAAAAGAAAGGTTCAACTCTGTGAGTTGAATGCACTCATCACCAACAAGTTTCTGAGAATGCTTCTGTGTAGTTTTTAAAGGAAGAGATTTCGTTTTTCTCCATTGGCCTCAAAGCACTCCAAATGTCCACATGCAGATTTTACAAAAAGGGTGTTACAAAACTGCTCTATCAAAAGAAAGGTTCAACTCTGTGAGTTGAATGCATTCATCACAAAGAAGTTTCTGAAAATGCTTCTGTCTAATTTTTAAGTGAAGATATTTCCTTGTTCACCATAGGCCTCAAAGCGCCCCAAATGTCCACTTGCAGATACTACAAAAAGAGTCTTTCAAAACTGCTCTATCAAAAGAAAGGTTCAACTCTGTGAGTTGAATGCTCACATCCCAAAGAAGTTTCTGAGAATGCTTCTGTCTACTTTTTATGTGAAGATATCCCCTTTCAAACGAAGGTCTCTAAGCCGTCCAAATATAGAGTAGCAAATTCAGCAAAAACAGTGTTTCAAAACTACTCTATGAAAAGAAAAGTTCAACTCTGTGAGTTGAATGCACACATCACAAAGAAGTTTCTGAGAATGCTTCTATGTAGTTATTATGTGAAGAGATTTCATTTTTCTCCATAGGCCTCAAAGCGCTCCAAATGTCTACTTGCAGATTCTAGAAAAAGAGTGTTACAAAACTGCTATATCAAAAGAAAGGTTCAACTCTGTAAGTTGAATGCATACATCACAAAGAAGTTTCTTTCAATGCTTCTGTCTAGTTTTTTTGTGATGGTATTCCTTTTCCAACAAAGGCCTCAGAGTGGTACAAATATCGACTTGCAATTTCCACAAAAAGAGTGTTTCAAAACTGCCCCATGAAAAGGAATGTTCAACTATGTGAGTTGAAAGCAAACAGCACAAGCAAGTTTCTGAGAATACTTCTGTGCAGTTTTTATATGAAGATATTTCCTTTTTCACCATAGGCCTCCAAGCGTTCCAAATGTCCACTTGCAGATTCTACAAAAAGAGTGTTTCAAAACTTCTCTATCAAGAGAAAGATTCAACTCTGTGAGTTGAATGCTCACAACACAAAGAAGTTTCTGAGAATGCTTCTATCAAGGTTTTATGTGAAGATATCTTGTTTCCAACGAAGACCTCTAAGCGGTCCAAATATACACCAGCAAATTCAGCAAAAAGTGTTTCAAAACCACTCTATGAAAAGAAAGGTTCAACTCTGTGAGATGAATGCACACATCACAAAGAAGTTTCTGAGAATGCTTCTGTGTAGTTTTTAGGTGAAGCTATTTCGTTTTTCTCCATTGGCCTCAAAGCACTCCAAATGTCCACTTGCAGATTCTACAAAAAGAGTGTTACAAAACTGCTCTATCAAAAGAAACGTACAACTCTGTGAGTTGAATGCACACATCACAAATAAGTTTCTCTGAATGCTTCTGTCTAGTTTTTATGTGAAGATATCCCATTTCCAATGCAGGCCTTAAAGTGTTCCAAATATCCATATGCAAACACTACAAAAATAGTGTTTCAAAACTGTTGTGTGAAAATTAGTGTTCTACTCTGTGACTTGAAAGCAAAAGTCACAAAGTAGTTTTTGAGAATGCTTCTGTGTATTTTTTAAGTGAAGATATTTCCTTTTTCACTATAGACCTCAAAGCTCTCCAAATGTTCACTTGCAGATTCTACAAAAAGAGTGTTTCAAAACTGCTCTATCAAAGGAAAGGTTCAACTCTGTGAGTTGAATTCACACATCACAAAGAAGTTTCTGAAAATACTTCTGTGTAGTTTTTATGTGAAGATATTACCTTTATCACTATAGGCCTCAAGGCACTCTAAATGTCCACTTGCAGATTCTACAAAAAGAGAGTTTCAAAACTGCTCTATCAAAAGAAAGATTCAACTCTGTGAGTTGAATGCACTCATCACAAAGAAGTTTCTGGAAATGCTTCTGTGTAGTTTTTAAGTGAAGGTATTTCCTTTTTCACCAAAGGCCTCCAAGTGCTCCAAATGTCCACTTGCAGATTCTACAAAAAGAGTGCTTCAAAACTGCTCTATCAAAGGAAAGGTTCAACTCTGTGAGTTGAATGCAAGCATCACAAATAAGTTTCTGAGAATACTTCTGTGTAGTTTTTATGTGAAGATATTCCCTTTTTCACTATAGGCCTCAAGGCACTCTAAATGTCCACTTGCAGATTCTACAAAAAGAGAGTTTCAAAACTCCTCTATCAAAAGAAAGATTCAACTCTCTGAGTTGAATGCACTCATTACAAAGAAGTTTCTGGAAATGCTTCTGTGTAGTTTTTATGTGAAGATATTTCCTTTTTCACCACAGGCCTCCAAGCACTCCAAATGTCCCCTTGCAGATTCTACAAAAAGAGTGCTTCAAAACTGCTCTATCAAAAGAAAGTTTCAACTCTAAGTTGAATGCGAACATCACAAAAAAGTTTCTGAGAATGCTTCTGTGTAGTTTTTATGTAAAGAGATTTCTTTTTTCTCCATTGGCCTCAAAGCACTCCAAATGTCCACTTGCAGATTCTACAAAAAGAGTGTTACAAAACTGCTCTATTAAAAGAAAGGTTCAACTCTGTGAGTTAAATGCATACATCACAAAGTCGTTTCTGTCAATGATTCTGTCTAGTTTTTATGTGACGGTATTCCTTTTCCAAAGAAGGCCTCAAACTGGTACAGATACTGACTTGCAAATTCCACAAAAAGAGGGTTGCAAAACTGCTCTATGAAAAGAATGTTCAACTCTGTGAGTTGAAAGCAAACACCACAAACAAGTTTCTGAGAATGCTTCTGGGCAGTTTTTATGTGAAGATATTTTCATTTTCACAATAGGCCTCCAAGCGATCCAAATGTCCAATTGCAGATTCTAAAAAAAGAGTGCTTCAAAACTGCTCTATCAAAAGAAAGGCTCAATTCTGTGAGTTGAATGCTCACATCACTAAGGAGTTTCTGAGAATCCTTCTGTCTGGTTTTTATGTGAAGATATCCCGTTTCCAATGAAGGCATTAAAGTAGTCCAAATATCCACTTGCAAATTCTACAAAAGAGTGTTTCAAAACTACTCTATGAAAAGGAATATTCAACTCTGTGATTTGAAAGCAAACATGACAAAGAAATTTCAGAGAATGCTTCTGTGTGGTGTTTATGTGAAGATATTTCCTTTTTCACCACAGGCCTCAAAGTGCTCAAATGTCCACTTGCAGATTCTATAAAAAGAGTGTTTCAAAACGGCTCTATTAAAAGAAAGGTTCAACTCTGTGAGTTGGATGCACACTTCACAAAGAAGTCTCTGTGTATGCTTCTGTCTAGTTTTTATGTGAAGATATCCCGTTTCCAATGAAGGCCTCAAAGTGTTCCAAATATCCACATGTAAATACTACAAAAAGAGTGTTTGAAAACTGCTGTAGGAAAATTAATGTTCACCTCTGTGAGTTGAAAGCAAACGTCACAAGGAAGTTTCTGAGAATGCTTCTGTGTAGTTTTTAAGTGAAGATATTTCCTTTTTCACCATAGACCTCAAAGCTCTCCAAATGTCCACTTGCAGATTCTACAAAAAGAGTGTTTCAAAACTGCTCTATCAAAAGAAAGGTTCAACTCTGTGGGATGAATGCACGCATCACAAGAAATTTCTGAGAATACTTCTGTGTAGTTTTTATGTGAAGATATTCCCTTTTTCACTATAGGCCTCAAAGCCCTCTAAATGTCCACTTGTAGATTCCACAAAAAGAGTGTTTCAAAACTGCTCTATTAAAAGAAAGATTCAACTCTTTGGGCTGAATTCACTCATCATGAAGAAGTTTCTGAAAAAGCTTCTGTCTATTTTTTATGTGAAGATATTTCCTTTTTCACCATAGCCCTCAAAGCACTCCAAATGTCCACTTGCAGATACCACAAAAAGAGTGTTTCTAATCTGCCCCATCAAGAGTAAGGTTCATCTCTGTGAGTTGAATGCACTCATCACAAAGAAGTTTCTGAGAATGCTTCTGTCTAGTTTTATGTGAAGATATCCCGTTTCCAACGAACACCTCTAAGCGGTCCAAATATACGCTAGCAAATTCAGCAAAAAGAGTGTTTCAAAACTGCTCTATGAAAAGAAAGGTTCACCTCTGTGAGTTGAATGCACACATCACAAAGAACTTTCTGGGAATGCTTCTGTGTAGTTTTTATGTGAAGTGATTTCGTTTTTCTCCTTTGGCCTCAAAGCGCTCCAGATGTCCACTTGCAGATTCTACAAAAAGATTGTTACAAAACTGCTCTATCAAAAGAAAGGTTCAATTCTGTGAGTTGAATGCATACATCACAAAGAAGTTTCTGTCAATGCTTCTGTCTAGTTTTTATGTGAAGGTATTCCTTTTCCAACGAAGGCCTCAAAGTGGTACAAATATCAACTTCCAAATTCCACCAAAACAGTGTTTCAAAACTGCTCTATGAAAAGGAACGTTCAACTCTGCGAGTTGAAAGCAGACAGCACAAAGAAGTTCCTGAGAATGCTTCTGTGCAGTTTTTATGTGAAGATATTTCCTTTTTCACTATAGGCCTCCAAGCACTCAAAAGTCCACTTGCAGATTCTACAAATAGAGTGCTTCAAATCCGCTCTATCAAAAGAAAGGTTCAACTCTCTGAGTTGAATACACACATCACAAAGAAGTTTCTGAGACTGCTTCTGTCTAGTATTTATGTGAAGGTATTACTTTTCCTATGAGGGCCTCAAAGTGGTAAAAATATCCACTTGCAAATTCCACAAAAAGTTTTTTCAAAACTGCTCAATGAAAAGGAATGTTCTACTCTGTGAGTTGAAAGCAAACATCAAAAAAAAGTTTCTGTGAATGCTTCTGTCTAGTTTTTAAGTGAAGATATTCCAATTCCAACAAAGGCCTCAAAGTGTTCAAAATATCCACATGCAAATACTACAAAAAGAGTGTTTCAAAAGTGCTGTAGGAAAATTATTCTTTAACTCTGTGAGTTGAAAGCTAACGTCACAAAGAAGTTTCTGAGAATGCTTCTGTGTAGTTTTAAGTGAAGATATTTCCTTTTTCACCATAGATCTCAAAGCTCTCCAAATGTCCACTTGCAGATTCTACAAAAAGAATGTTTCAAAACTGCTCTATCAAAAGAAAGGTTCAACTCTGTGAATTGAATGCAAGCATCACAAAGAAGTTTCTGAGAATACTTCTGTGTAGTTTTTATGTGAAGATACTCCCTTTTTCACTATAGGCCTCAAGGCACTCTAAATGTCCACTTGCAGATTCTACAAAAAAAGAGTTTCAAAACTCCTCTATTAAAAGAAAGGTTCAACTCTCTGAGTTGAATGCACTCATTACAAAGAAGTTTCTGGAAATGCTTCTGCGTAGTTTTTATGTGAAGATATTTCCTTTTTCACCACAGGCCTCCAAGCACTCCAAATGTCCACTTGCAGATTCTACAAAAAGAGTGCTTCAAAACTACTCTATCAAAAGAAAGTTTCAACTCTGTGAGTTGAATGCAAACATCACAAAGAAGTTTCTGAGAATGCTTCTGTGTAGTTTTTATGTAAAGAGATTTCTTTTTTCTCCATTGGCCTCAAAGCGCTCCAAATGTCCACTTTCAGATTCTACAAAAAGAGTGTTACAAAACTGCACTATCAAAGAAAGATTCAAGTCTGTGACTTGAATGCACTCATCACAAAGTCGTTTCTGTCAATGATTCTGTCTAGTTTTTATGTGAAGGTATTCCTTTTCCAAAGAAGGCCTCAAACTGGTACAGATACCGACTTGCAAATTCCACAAAAAGAGGGTTTCAAAACTGCTCTAAGAAAAGGACTGTTCAACTCTGTGAGTTGAAAGCAAACAGCACAAAGAAGTTTCTAAGAATGCTTCTGTGCAGTTTTTGTGTGAAGATATTTCCTTTTTCACCACAGGCCTCCAAGAGCTCCAAAATGTCCACTTGCAGACTCGACAAAAAGATTGTTTCAAAACTGCTCTATCAAAAGAAAGGTTCAACTCTGTGAGTTGAATGCACACATCACAAATAAGTTTCTGAGAATACTTCTGTGCAGTTTTAATGTTTAGATATTTCCTTTTTCACCATAGGCCTCAAAGGACTCTAAATGTCCTCTTGCAGACTCTACAAAAGGAGTGTTTCAAAACTGATCTATCAAAAGAAAGATTCAACTCTGTGAGTTGAATGCACTCATCACAAAGAAGTTTCTGAAAATGTTTCTGTCTAGTTTTTATGTGAAGATATTTCCTTTTTCACCATAGCCCTGAAAGCGCTCCAAATGTCCACCTGCAGATTCTACAAAAAAAGTTCTTCAAAACTGCTCTATCAAAAGAAAGTTTTGTCTCTGTGAGTTCAATGCACATATCACAAAGAAGTTTCTGAGAATGCTTCTGTATAGCTTTTATGTGAAGATAGCCCGTTTCCAACAAAGGCCTCTAAGCGGTCCAAGCATACACTAGCAAATCCAGCAAAAAGAGTGTTTCAAAACTATTTTATGAAAATAAAGGTTCAACTCTCTGAGTTGAATGCACACATCAGAAAGAAGTTTCTGTGAATGCTTCTGTGTTGTTATGAGAAGAGATTTCGTTTTTCTCCATTGGCCTCAAAGCGCTCTAAATGTCCACTACCAGATTGTACAAAGACTGTTTCAAAACTGCTATATCTAAAAAAAGGTTCAACTCTGTGAGTTTAATGCATACATCACAAGGAAGTTTCTGTCAATGCTTCTCTCTAGTTTTTATGTGAAGGTATTCCGTTTCCAACAAAGGCCTCAAATTGGTACAATTATCGACTTGCAAATTCCACAAAAAGAGTGTTTCAAAACTGCTCTAAGAAAAGGAATGTTTAACTCTGTGAGTTGAAAGCAAACATCACAAAGAAGTTTCTGAGAATGCTTCTGTGTACTGTTCATGTAAAGATATTTCCTTTTTCCCACAGGACTAAAAGCGCTCAAATGTCCACCTGCAGATTCTACAAAAAGAGTGTTTCAAAACTGCTCTATCAAAGAAAGTTTCGACTCTGTGAGTTGGATGCACACAGCACAAAGAAGTTTCTGTGAATACTTCTGTATAGTTTTTATGTGAAGATATTTACTTTTTCAACCAAGGCCTCCAAATGCTTCAAATGTCCACTTGCAGATTCTAAAAAAAGAGTTTTTCAAAACTGCTGTATCAAAAGAAAGGTTCAACTCTGTGAGTTAAATGTACACATCACAAAGTAGTTTCAGAGAATGCTTCTGTCTGCTTTTTATGTGAAAATATCCCGTTTCCAAGGAAGACCTCAAAGTGGTCCAAATATCCACTTGCAAATTCTAAAAAAGAGTTTCAAAACTACTCTATGAAAAGGAATGTTCAACTCTGTGAGTTGAAAGCAAACATCACAAAGGAGTTTCTGAGAATGCTTCTGTGTAGTGTTTATGTGAAGATATTTCCTTTTCCAAAACAGGCCTCGAGGCGCTCAAATGTCCACTTGCAGATTCTACAAAAAGAGTGTTTCAAAACTGCTCTATCAAAAGAAAGTTTCAACTCTGTGAGTTGGATGCACACATCATAAAGAAGTTTCTGTGAATGCTTCTGTCTAGTTTTTATGTGAAGATATTTCCTTTATCACCATAGGCCTCCAAGTGCTCCAAATGTCCACATGTAGATTCTACAAAAAGAGTGTTTCAAAACTTCTCTATCAAAAGAAAGGTTCAACTCTGTGGGTTGAATGCACACATCACCAAGGAGTTTCTGAGAATGTTTCTACCTGCTTTTTATGTGAAGATATCCCGTTTCCAATGAAGGCCTCAAAGTGGTCGAAGTATGCACTTGCAAATTCTACGAAAAGAGTGTTTCAAAACTACTATATGAAAGGGAATATTCAACTCTGTGAGTTGAAACCAAATATCGCAAAGAAGTTTCTGAGAATGCTTCTGTGTAGTGTTCATGTGAAGATATTTCCTTTTTCACCACATGCCTCAAAGCGCTCAAATGTCCACTTGCAGATTCTACAAAAAGAGAGTTTCAAACCTGCTCTATCAGAAGAAATGTTCTAATCTGTGAGTTGGATGCACACATCACCAAGGAGTTTCTGAAAATGCTTCCTTCTGCTTCTTATGTGAAGATATCCCGTTTCCAAGAAGGCCTCAAAGTGGTCCAAGTATTCACTTGCAAATTCTACAAAAAGAGTGTTTCAAAACTGCTGTAGGAAAATTAATGTTCAACACTGTGAGTTGAAAGCAAACGTCACAAGTAAGTTTCTGAGAATGCTTCTGTTTAGTGTTTATATGAAGATATTTCCTCGTTCACCACAGACCTCAAAGGGCTCAAATGTCCACTTGCAGATTCTACAAAAGGAGTGTTTCAAACCTGCTCTATCAGAAGAAAGGTTTAACACTGTGAGTTGGATGCACACATTACAAAGAAGTTTCTGTGAATTCTTCTGTCTAGTTTTTATGTGAAGATATCCCGTTTCCAACGAAGACCTCAAAGTGGTACTATTATCCACATGCAAACAATACAAAAAGAGTGTTTCAAAACTGCTGTATGAAAATTAGTGTTCTACTCTGTGAGTTGAAAGCAAACGTCACAACGAAGTTTCTGAGAATGTTTCCGTGTAGTTTTTAAGTGAAGATATTTCCTTTTTCACCATAGACCTCAAAGCTCTCCAAATGTCCACTTGCAGATTCTACAAAAAGAGTGTTTCAAAACTGCTCTATTAAAAGAAAGATTTAACTCTGCGAGTTGAATGCACTCGTCACAAAGAAGTTTCTGTAAATGCTTCCATCCAGTTTTTATGTGAAGATATTTCCTTTTTCACTAAAGATCTCAAAGCGCTCCAAATGTCCACTTGCAGATTCTACAAAAAGAATGTTTCAAAACTGCTCTTTCAAAAGAAAGGTTCATCTCTCTGAGTTGAATGCATACATCACAAAGAGGTTTCTCATAATGCTTCTGTCTATTTTTTATGTGAAGATATCCAGTTTCCAACGAAGGCCTCTAAGCGGTCCAAATATACACTAGCAAATTCAGCAAAAAGAGTGTTTCAAAACTGCTCTATGAAAAGAAAGTTCAAATCTGTGAGTTGAATGCACACATCACAGAGAAGTTTCTGAGAATGCTTCTGTGTAGTTTTTATGAGAAGAGATTTCGTTTTTCTCCTTTGGCCACAAAGCGTTCTAAATGTCAACTTGCAGATTGTAGAAAAAGAGTGTTACAAAACTGCTCTATCAAAAGAAAGTTTCATTTCTGTGTGTTGGATACACAAATCTCAAATAAGTTTTTGAGAATGATTCTGCCTAGTTTGTATGTGAAGATATCTCATTTCCAAAGACGGCCTCATAGTGTTCCAAATATCCACATGCAAACACTACAAAAAGAATGTTTCAAAACTGCTGTAAGAAAATTAGTGTTCAACTCTATGAGTTGAAAGCAAATGTCACAAGGAAGTTTCTGAGAATGCTTCTGTGTAGTTTTGAAGTGAAGATATTTCCTTTTTCACCGTAGACCTCAAAGATTTCCAAATGTCCACTTGCAGATACTACAAAAAGAATGTTTCAAAGCTGTTCTATCAAAAGAAAGGTTCATCTCTTTGAGTTTTATGCACACATCACAAAGAAGTTTCTGAGAATACTTCTGTGAAGTTTTTATGTGAAGATATTCCCTTTTTCACCATAGGCTTCAGAGCACTCTAAATAGCCAATTGCAGATTCTACAAAAAGAGTGTTTCAAAACTGCTCTATCAATAGAGAGGTTCAACTCTGTGAGTTGAATGCATACATCACAAAGAAGTTTCTGTCAGTGCTTCTGTCTAGTTTTTATGTGAAGGTATTCCGTTTCCAACGAAGGCCTCATAGTGGTACAAATATTGAAATGCAAATTCCACAAAAAACGGGTTTCAAAACTGCTCTAATAAATGCAATGTTCAACTCTGTGAGTTGAAAGTAAACAGTAAAAAGAAGTTTCTGAGAATACTACTGTGTAGTTTTTATGTGAAGATTTTTCCTTTTTCACCATAGTCCTCCAAGCCCTCCAAATGTCCACTTGCAGATTCTACAAAAAGAGTGTTTCAAAGCTGCTGTAACAAAACAAAGGTTGAACTCTTTCAGCTGAATGCATACATCACAAAGAAGTTTCTGAGAATACTTCTGTGTAGTTTTTATTTGGAGATATTCCCTTTTTCACCATAGGCCTCAAAGCACTCTAAATGTCCACTTGCAGATTCTACAAAAAGAGTGTTACAAAACTGCTCTATCAAAAGAAAGGTTCAACTCTGTGAGTTGAATGCATACATCACGAAGAAGTTTCTGTCAATGTTTCTGTCCAGTTTTTATGTGAAGGTATTCCTTTTCCAACAAAGGCCTCAAAGTGGTACAAATATAAACTTGCAAATTCCACCAAAAGAGCGTTTCAAAATTGCTCTATGAAAAGGAACGTTCAACTCTGTGAGTTGAAAACAATCAGCACAAACAAGTCTCTGAGAATGCTTCTGTGCAATTTTTATGTGAAGATATTTCCTTTTTTACCATAGGCCTCCAAGCACTCTTATGTCCATTTGCAGATTCTACAAAAAGAGTGTTTCAAAACTGCTCTATCACAAGAAAGGTTCAACTATGTGAGTTGAATGCACACATCAGAAAGAAGTTTCTGAGAATGCTTCCATCTGCTTTTAATGTGAAGATATTCCGTTTCCAATGAAGGCCTCAAAGTGGTCCAAATATCCACTTGCAAACACTACAAAAAGAGTGTTTCAAAAGTGCTCTATGAAAAGGAATGTTCAACTCTGTGAGTTGAAAGCAAACATCACAAGAAGTTTCTGAGAATGCTTCTCTGTGGTTTTTAAGTGAAGATATTTCCTTTTTCTCCATAGGCCTCAAAGCTCTCCAAATGTCCACTTGCAGATTCTACAAAAAGAGTGTTTCAAAACTGTTCTATCAAAAGAAAGACTCAACTCTGTGAGTTGAATTCACTCATCACAAAGTAGTTTCTGAGAATGTTTCTGTCTGTTTTTTTGTGAAGTTATCCTATTTCAAATGAAGGCCTCAAATCTATCCATATATACACTAGCAAAGTCAACAACAAGGGTGTTTCCAAACTACTCCATGAAAAGATAGGTTCAACTCTGTCAGTTGAAAGCACACATCAAAAAGAAGTTTCTGAGAATGTTTCTTTGTAGTTTTTATATGAAGAGATTCGTTTTTCTCCTTTGGCCTCAAAGAGCTTCATACGTCCACTTGCAGATTCCACAAAAAGAGTGTTACAAAACAGCTCTATCAAAAGAAAGCTTCAACTCTGTGAGTTGAATGTACACATCACAAAGAAGTTCCTGAGAATGCTTCTGTCTCGTTTTTATGTGAAGATATTCCGTTTCCAACGAAGGCCTCTAAGCTGTCCCAATATCCACTTGCAAATTCTTCAAAAAGAGTGTTTCAAAACTGCTCTATCAAAAGAAAGTTTCAACCCTGTGAGTTGAATGCACACATCACAAAGAAGTTTCTGAGAATGCTTCTTTCTGTTTTTTATGTGAGGATATCCTGTTTCCAATGAAGGCCTCTAAGCCTTCCAAATATCCACTTGGAAATGCTACAAAAAGAGTGTTTCAAAACTGCTCTATGAAAAGGAAAGTTCAACTCCGTGAGTTGAAAGCAAATATCAGAAAGAAGTTTCTGAGAATGTTTCTGTGTAGTTTTCATATGAAGATATTTTCTTTTTCACCTCCGACCTCAAAGCGCTCAAATGTCCACTTACAGATTCTACAAAAGGATTGTTTCAAAACTGCTCTATCAAAAGAAAGGTTCAACTCTGTGAGTTGAATGCACACATCACAAAGAGGTTTCTGTGAATGCTTCTGCCTAGTTTTTATGTGAAGATATTTAATTTTTCACCATAGCCCTAAAAGCGCTCCAAATGTCCACTCGCAGATTCTACAAGAATAGTGTTTCAATATTGCTCTATCAAAAGAAAGGTTCATCTCTGTGAGTTGAATGCACACATCAAAAAGAAGTTTCTGAGAATGTTTCTGTCTAGTTTTTATGTGAAGATATCCCGTTTCCAACAAAGTCCTCTAAGCGGTCCAACATATACTTGCAAATTCAAAAAAAGAGTGTTTCAAAACGACTCTATGAAAAGAAAGGGTCAAATCTGTGAGTTGAATGCACACATCACAAAGAAGTTTCTGATAATGCTTCTGTGTAGTTTTTATGTGAAGAGATTTCGTTTTTCTCCATTAGACTCAAAGCCCTCCTAATGTCCACTTGCAGAGCCTACAAAAAGAGTGTTTCAAAACTGCTCTATCACAAGAAAGTTTCAACTCTGTGAGTTGAAAGCATACATCACAAAGAAGTTTCTGTCAAAGCTCCTGTCTAGTTTTTATGTAAAAGTACTCTGTTTCCAACGAAGGCCTCAAAGTGCTCCAAATAACCACATGCAAATTCTTCAAAAAGAGTGTTTTAAAACTGCTGTGGGAAAATTAATGTTCAACTCTCTCAGTTGAAAGCAAACGTCACAAGGAAGTTTCTGAGAATGCTTCTGTGTAGTTTTTAAGTGAAGATGTTTCCTTTTTCACCATAGGCCTCAAAGATCTCCAAATGTCCAATTGCAGATTCTACAAAAAGTGTTTCAAAACTGTTAAATCAAAAGAAAGGTTCAAATCTGTGAGTTGAATGCACACATCACAAAGAAGTTTCTGAGAATACTTCTGTGTAGTTTTTATGTGAAGATATTCCCTTTTTCACTATAGGCCTCCAAGCATTCTGAATGTCCACCTGCAGATTCTACCAAAAGAGTCTTTCAAAACTGCTCTATCAAAAGAAAGATTCAACTCTGTCAGTTGAATACACTCATCACAAACGAGTTTCTGAGAATGCTTCTGTCTAGTTTTTATTTGAAGATATTTCCTTTTTCACCGTAGGCCTCAAAGCGCTCAAAATGTCCACTTGCAGATACTACAAAAAGAGCGTTTCAAAACTGCTCTATCAAAAGAAAGGATCATCTCAGTAACTTGAATTCACACATCACAAAGAAGGTTCTGAGAAATCTTCTGTCTAGGTTTTATGTGAAGATATGCCATTTCCAAAGAAGGCCTCTATGCTGTCCAAATATACACTAGCAAATTCAACAAAAAGAGTGTTTCAAAACTGCTCTATGAAAAGAAAGGTTCAACTCTGTAAGTTGAATGCACACATCACAAAGAATTTTCTGAGAATGCTTCTGTCTAGTTTTTATGTGAAGATACTTCCTTTTCCACCATAGCCTTCAAAGTGCTCCAAATATCCATTTGCAGATACTACAAAAAGAGTGTTTCAAAACTGTTAAATCAAATGAAAGGTTCAACTCTGTAAGTTGAATGCACACATCACAAAGAAGTTTCTGAGAATGCCTCTGTCTTGTTCTTATGTAAAGTTATTCCCGTTTACAACAAAGGCCTAAGAGTGCTCAAAATATCCACTTGCAGATTCTACAAAAAGACTGTTTCAAAACTGCTCTATAAAAAGGTATGTTCAACTCTGTGAGTTGAATGCAAACATCATAAAGAAGTTTCTGAGAATGCTTCTGTCTAGTTTTTATGTGAAGATATTTCCTTTTTTACCATAGCACTCAAAAAGCTCCAAATGTCCACTTGCAGATTCTAAAAAAAGAGTGTTTCAAAACCGCTCTATCAAAAGAAAGGATCAACTCTGTGAGTTGAATGCACACATCACAAAGAAGTTTCTGAGAATGCTTCTGTCTAGTTTTTTTGTGAAGATATTCCCGTTTCGAAAGGAGGCCTCAAATGGGTCCAAATATTCCCTTGCAGATTCTACAGAAAGAGTGTTTCAAAACTGCTCTATGAAAAGGTGTGTTCAACTCTGTGAGTTGAATGCAAACATCACAAAGAAGTTTCTGAGAATGCTTCTGTCTAGTTTTTTTTGTGAAGATATTCCCGTTTCGAAAGGAGGCCTCAAATGGGTCCAAATATTCCCTTGCAGATTCTACAGAAAGAGTGGTTCAAAACTGCTCTATGAAAACGTGTGTTCAACTCTGTGAGTTGAATGCAAACATCACAAAGAAGTTTCTGAGAATGCTTCTGTCTAGTTTTTTTGTGAAGATATTCCCGTTTCGAAAGGAGGCCTCAAATGGGTCCAAATATTCCCTTGCAGATTCTACAGAAAGAGTGTTTCAAAACTGCTCTATGAAAAGGTGTGTTCAACTCTGTGAGTTGAATGCAAACATCACAAAGAAGTTTCTGAGAATGCTTCTGTCTAGTTTTTCTGTGAAGGTGTTGCCTTTCCCACCATAGCCCTCAAAACGCTCCAAGTTTCCACTTGCAGGTTCAAAAAAAAAGAGTGTTTCAAAACTGCTCTATCAAAAGAATGGTTAAACTCTGTGAGTAGAATGCACACATCACAAAGTGGTTTCTGAGAATTGTCCTGTCTAGTTTTAATGTGAAGATATTCCTTTTTCCAACAAAGTCTTCAAAGTGCTCCAAATATTCATCTGCAGATTCTACAAAAAGAGTGTTTCAAAACTGCTCTATCAAAAGGAAAGTTCAACACTGTGAGTTGAATGTACACATCACACAGGAGTTTCTGAGAATGCTTCTGTCTAGTTTTTTGTGAAGATATTCCCATTTTCTACAAAGGCCTCAAAGCGGACCAAATATCCACTCGCAGATTCTACAAAAAGAGTGTTTCAAAACTGGCTATGAAAAGGTATATTCAACTTTGTGAGGTCAATGCAAAAATCTTAAAGAAGATTCTGAGAATGCTTCTATCTATTTTTTATGTGAAGATATTTCCTGTTCCACAATGACCCTAAAGGTGCTCAAAATGTCCACTTGCAGATTCTAAAACAAGAGTTTTTCAAAACTGCTCTATCAAAAGAAATGTTCAACTCTTTCAGTTGAATGCACACATCACAAAGGAGTTTCTGCAAATGCTTCTGTCTAGTTTTTATGTGAAGATATTCCCGTTTCCAAGGAAGGCTCCAATGCACTCCAAATATCCACTTGGAGATTCTACAAAAAGAGTTTTTCAAAACTGCTCTATCAAAACGAAGGTTCACCTCAGCGAGCTGAAGTCACACATCACAAAAAACTTTCTGAGAATGCTTCTTTCTAGTTTTTATGTGAAGATATTCCCGTTTCCAATGAAGGTTTTGAAGCGCTCCAAATATCCAACTGCAGTTTCCACAAAAGAATGCTTCAAAAATGCTCTATCAAAACGAAGGTTCAAATCTGTGAGTTGAAGGCACAAATCACAAAGAACTTTCTGAGAACGCTTCTGTCTAGTATTTATGTGAAGATATTCCTGTTTCCAATGAAGGCCTCAAAGCAGCACAAATATCCACATGTAGATTCTACAAAAAGAGTGTTTCAAAACTGCTCTCTGAAACGGTATTTTCAACTCTGTGACTTGAATGCAAACATCACATAGAAGTATATGTGAATGTTTCTGTCTAGTTTTCATATGAAGATATTTCCTTTTCCACCATAGTCATCAAAGTGCTCCAAATTTCCACTTGCAGATTCTACAAAAAGAGTGTTTCAATACTGCTCTATCAAAGGAAATGTTCAACTCTGTGAGTTGAATGCACACATTGCAAAGAAGTTTTTGAGAATGCTTCTGTGTAGTTTTTATGTGAAGATATTTCCTTTTCCACCATAGCCATCAAAGTGCTCCAAATGTACACTTGCAGATCCTGCAAAAAGAGTTTCAAAAGTGTTCTATCAAAAGAAATTTCAACTCTGTGAGTTGAACGCACACATCACAAGGCACTTTCAGAGAATGTTTCTGTCCAGTTTTTATATAAAGATTTTTCCTTTTCTAGCACAGGCCTCATAGCGCTCCAAATATCCACTTGCAGATTCTACAAAAAGTGAGTTGCAAAACTGCTCTTTCAAAAGGAAGGTTCAACTCTGTGCATTGAATGCACCTATCACAAAGAAGTTTCTGAGAATGCTTCTGTCTAGTTTTTATGTGAAGATATTTCCTTTACCACCATAGCCCTCAAAGCCTTCCAAATATCCACTTGCAGATTCTACAGAAATAGTGTTTCAAAACTGCCCTATCAAAAGAAATGTTCAACTCTGTGAGTTGAATGCCACAATACAAATAAGTTTATGAGAACCCTTCTGTCTAGTTTTTATGTGAAGATATACCCATTTCCAGCGAACACTTAAATTGCTCCAAATATTCACTTGCAGATTCTACAAAAAGAGTGTTTCAAAACTGCTCTATCAAAAGGAAGGTCCAACTCTGTGAGTTGAATGCACACATCACAAAGGAGTTTCTGAGAATGCTTTTGTCTATTTTTTATGTGAAGATATTCCCATTTCCAACGAAGGCTTCACAGCGCTCAAAATATCCACTGGCAGATTCCACAAAAACAGTGTTTCAAAACTGCTCTATGGAAAGGTATATTCAACTCTGAGAGTTGAATGCAAACATCACAAAGAAGTTTCTGAGAATGCTTCTGTCTGGTTTTTATGTGAAGATATTTCCTTCTCCACCATAGCCCTCAAAGTGCTCCAAATGTCCACCTGCAGATTCTACAAAAAGAGTGTTTCAAAACTGCACCATCAAAAGGAAGGTTCAACTCTGTGAATTGAATGCCCACATTACAAAGTCGTTTCTGAGAATGCTTCTGTCTAGTTTTTATGTGAAGATATTCCCGTTTCCAAAGAAGGCCCCAAAGCGCTCCAAATGTCTATTTGCAGATTCTACAAAAAGAGTGTTTCAAAACTGCTCTCTCAAAAGGAAGGTTCAACTCTGTGAGTTCAATGCACTCATCACAAAGAAGTTTCTGAGAATGCTTCTGTCTAGTTTTTTTGTGAGTATAATTCCGATTCCAATGAAGGCCTCAAAGCGGTCCAAATATCCTCTTGTAGAATTTACAAAAACAGAGTTTCAATACTGCTCTATGAAAAGGTATGCTTAACTCTGTGAGTTAAATGCATCCACAACAAAGAAGTTTCTGAGGATGCTTCTGTCTAGTTTTCATATGAAGATATTTCCTTTTCCACCATAGCCCTCTAAAAACTCCAAATGTCCATTTGTGAATCCTTAAAAAGAGTGTTTCAAAACTGCTCATTCAAAAGGAACGTTCAACTCTGTGAGTTGAATGCACACATCACAAAGAAGTTTCTGAGAATGCTTCTGTCTAGTTTTTATGTGAAGCTACTTCCTTTTCCAACAATGGCTTCAAAGCACTCCAAATATCCACTTGCAGATTCTACAAAAAGAGTGTTTCAAAATGGCTCTATCAAAAGGAAGGTTCAACTCTGTGAGTTGAATCCACTGCATCACAAGGAAGTTTCTGAGAATGCTTCTGTCTAGTTTTTATATGAAGATATTTGCTTTTCTACAATAGGCCACAAAGGGCTCCAAATATCCACTTGCAGATTCTACAAAAAGAGTGTTTCAAAACTGCTCTATCAAAAGGAAGGTTCAACTATGTGCGATGAATGCAAACATCGCAAAGAAGTTTCTGAGAATGCTTCTGTCTAGTTTTTATGTGAAGATACTTGCTTTTCCAACGAAGGCTTCAAAACAATCCAAATATCCACTTGCAGATTCTACGAAAAGAGTGTTTTAAAATTGCTCTATCAAAAGAAAGTTTCAACTCTGTGAGCTGAATACACACATCACAAAAAAGTTTCTGAAAATGCTTCTGTCTAGTTTTTATGTGAAGATATTCCCATTTCCAACAATGGCTTCAAAGTGCTCAAAATATGCACTTGCAGATTGTACAAAAAGAGTGTTTCAAAACTGCTCTATGAAAAGGTATCTTCAACTCTGTGAGTTGAATTTAAACATCACAAAGAAATTTCTGAGAATGCTTCTCTCTAGTTTTTATGTGAGGATATTTCTTTTTCCACCATAGCCCTCAATGCGCTCCAAATGTCCACTTGCAGATTATACAAAAATAGTGTTTCAAAACTGCCTTATCAAAAGGAAGGTTCAACTTTGTGAGTTGAATGCATACATCACAAGAAATTTCTGAGAATGCTTCTGTCTAGAGTTTATGTTAGGTTATTCCCGTTTCCAAAGGTCTCAAAGCCGTCCAAACTTCCACTTGCAGATTCTACAAAGAGTGTTTCAAAACTTCTCTTTGTAAACGTATGTGCAAGTCTGTGAGTTGAATACAAACATCACAAAGAAGTTTCTGAGAATGCTTCTGTCTGGTTTTCATGTGAACATATTTCCTTTTCCACGACATCCCACAAAGTGCTCCAAATGTCAACTTGTGGATACCACAAAAAGAGTGTTTCAAAACTGGTCTATGAAAATAAAGTTTCAACTCTGTGAATTGAATGCAAACATTAGAAAGAAGTTTCAGAGAATGCTTCTGTCTAGTTTTTACTTGAAAATATTTCCTTTTGTATCATAGGCAACAAAGGTCTCCAAATATCCACTTGCAGATTCTACAAAAAGAGTGTTTCAAAACTGCCCTATCAAAAGGAAGGTTCAACTTTGTGAGTTGAATGCACACATCACAAGAAATTTATGAGAATGCTTCTGTCTAGAGTTTATGTTAGGATATTCCCATTTCCAAAGCAGGTCTGAAAGCGGTCCAAACTTCCACTTGCAGATTCTGCAAAGAGTGTTTCAAAACTGCTCTTTGTAAACTTATGTGCAAGTCTGTGATTTGAAGACAAACATCACAAAGAAGTTTCTGAGAATGCTTCTGTCTAGTTTTCATGTGAAGATATTTCCTTTTCAACGACATCCCACAAAGTGCTCCAAATGTCAACTTGTGGATTCCACAAAAAGAGTGTTTCAAAACTGGTCGATGAAAATAAAAGTTCAACTCCGTGAATTGAATGCAAACATCACAAAGAAGTTTCAGAGAATGTTTCTGTCTAGTAATACGTGAAGATATTTCCTTTTCCACCACAGCCCTCAAAGTGCTCCAAATGTCCACTTGCAGATTTCACGAAAAGAGTGGTTCAAAACTGCATTATCAAAAGAAAGGTTAAACCCTGTGAGTTGAATGCACATATCACAAAGTAGTTTCGGAGAATGCTTCTGGGTAGTTTTTATATGAAGTTATTTCCTTTTCTACCTTAGGCCACAAAGGGCTCCAAATATCCACTTGCAGATTCTACAAAAAGAGTGTTTCAAAGCTGCCCTATCAAAAGGAAGTTTCAACTATGTGAGTTGAATGCAAACGTCACAGAGAAATTTCTGAGAGTGCTTCTGTCTAGTTTTTATGTGAAGATACTTCCTTTTCCAAAGAAGTCTTCAAAGCCCTCCAAATATCCACTTGCAGATTCTACAAAAAGAGTGTTTCAAAACTGCTCTATCAAAAGGAAGGTTCAACTCTGTGAGTTGAATTCACACATCACAGAATATTTTCTGAGAATGCTTCCGTCTAGTTTTTATGTGAAGGTATTCCCATTTCCAATGAACTCCTCAAAGCACTGAAAATATCCACTTGCAGATTATACAAAAAGAGTGTATCAAAAGTGCTCTATGAAAAGGTATGTTCCAATCTGTGAGTTGAATTCAAACATCACAAAAAAGTTTCTGAGAACGCTTCTTTATAGTTTTTATGGGAGAATATTTCCTTTTCCACCAGAGCCCTCAAAGTGCTCCAAATGTCCACTTGCAGATTCTACAAAAAGAGTGTTTCAAACTGCTCTATCAAAAGAAAGCTTCAACTCCATGAGTTGAATGCAGACATCACAAAGTAGTTTCACAGAATGCTTCTGTCTAGTTTTTATATGAAGATATTTCCTTTTCTAACATGGGCCTCAAATGGCTCCAAATATCCACTTGCAGATTCTACAAAGAGTATTTCAAAACTGTTCTATCAAAAGGAAGGTTTAACTCTGTGCGTTGAATGTACACATCACAAAGAAGTTTCTGAGAATGCTTCTGTCTAGTTTTTATGAAAAGATATTCCCGTTTTCATCGAAAGTTTCAAAGCGGTCCAAATATCCACTTGCAGATTCTACAAAAAGAGTGTTTCAAAACTGCTATACAAAAAGGTATATTCAACTCTGTGAGTTGAATGCCAACATCACAAAGAAGTTTCTGAGAATGCTTCTGTCTGGTTTTCATGTGAAGATATTTCCCTTACCACCATAGCCCTCAGAGTGTTGCAAATGTCCACTTACAGATTCTACACAAAGAGGATTTCAAAACTCCTCTATCAAAAGGAAAGTTCAACTCTGTGAGTTGAATGCACACATCACAAAGAAGTTTCTGAGAATGCTTCTGTCTAGTTTTTATGTGGCGATATTCCTGTTTCCAACGAAGGCTTCAAAGCACTACACTATCCACCTGCATATTCTACATAAATAATGCTTCACAACTGCTCTATAAAAAGGAAGTTTCAACTCTGTGAGTTGAATGTAAACATCACAAAGAAGTTTCTGAGAATGCTTCTGTCTATTTTTTAGGTGAAGATATTCCCGTTTCCATTGAAGGCTCAAGGCACTCCAAATATCCACCTGCAGATTCTACAAAAAGAGTGTTTCAAAACTGCTCTATGAAAAGGAAGGTTCAACTCTGTGAGTTGAATGCACACATCACTAACAAGTTTCTGCGAATGCTTCTGTCTAGTTTTTATGTGAAGATACTTGCTTTTCCACCGAAGGTGTCAAAGAGCTTGAAATGTCCACTTGTAGATTCTACAAAAAGTGTGTTTCCAAACTACTCTATGAGAAGGTATGTTCAACTCTGAGAGTTGAATGGCAACATCAAAAGGAAGTTTCTGAGAATGCTTTTGTCTGGTTTTTATGTGAAGATATTTCCTTTTCCACAATAGCCCTTAAAATGCTCCAGATGTCCACCTGCAGATTCTACAAAAAGAGTGCTTCAAAACTGCTAGATCCAAAGAAATATTGAATCCTGTGAGATGAATGCACACATCACAAAGTAGTTTCTGAGAATACTTCTGTCTAGTTTTTATATAAAGACATTTCCTTTTCTACCATAGGCCTCGAAGCACTCCAAATATTCACTTGCTGATTCTTCAAAGAAGGTATTTCAGAACTACTCTATCAAAAGGAAGGTTCAATTCTATGAGTTGAATGCACTCATCACAAAGAAGTTTATGAGAATGCTTCTGTATAGTTTTTATGTGTAGATATTCCCGTTTCCAACGAAGGCTTCAAATCATTCCCAATATCTACCTGCAGATTCTACAAAAAGTGTTTCAAAACTACTCTATCAAAACAAAGGTTCAAATCTGTGAGTTCAATGCACACATCACAAAGTAGTTTCTGAGAATGCTTCTGTCTAATTTTTATGTGAAGATAAACCGGTTTCCAACGAAGGCTTCAGGTGGTCCAAATATCCAGTTGCAGATTCTACAAAAAGATTGTTTCAAAATTGCTCTATTAAAAGATATGTTCAACTCTGTGAGTTGATAGCATACATCACAAACAAGTTTCTGAGAATGTTTCTGTCTACTTTTCAAGTGAAGATATTTCCTTTACTACCATAGCCCACAAAGCCCTCCTAATGTGCTCTTGCAGATTCTACAAAAAGAGTTTTCCAAAACTGCTCTATCAAAAGAAAGGTTCGTCTCTGTGAGTTGAATACACACATCACAATGTAGTTTCTGAGAGTTCTTCTGTCTAGTGTCTATGTGAAGACATTCCCGTTTCCAATGAAGGCCTCAAAGCAGTCCAAATATCCACTTGCAGATTCTACAATACAGTGTTTCAAAACTGCTCTATCAAAAGGAAGGTTGAACTCTGTGAGTTGAATGCACACATGACAAAGAAGTTTCTGAGAATGCTTCTATCTAGTTTTCATGTGAAGATATTTCCTTTTCCACCATAGCCCTCAAAGTGTTCCAAATGTCCACTTGCAGATTCCATAAAAAGAGAGTTTCAAAACTGCTCTATCAAAAGAAAGTTTAAACTCTGTGAGTTGAATACACATATCGCACAGTAGTTCTGAGAACGCTTCTGTCTAGCTTTTATATGAAGATACGTCCTTTTCTACATAGGCCTCAAAGCACTCCAAATATACACATGAAGATTCTAAAAAAAGAGTGTTTCAAAACTGCTCTATCAAAAGGAAGGTTCTAATCTGTGAGCTGAATGTGCACTTTGTGAAGAAGTTTCTGTGAATGATTCTGTCTAGTTTTCATATGAATACATTTCCTTTTCTACCAGAGGACTCAAATCGTTCCAAATATCCACTTGAAGATTCTACAAAAAGAGGGTTTCAAAACTGCCCTATCAAAAGGAAGGTTCAACTCTTTGAGTAGAATCCACACATCACAAAGTAGTTTCTGAGAATGCTTCTGTCTCGTTTTTATGTGGACATATTCCCGTTTCAAACGAAGACCTCAAAGCAGTCCAAATATACACTCGCAGATTCTACAAAAAGAGTGTTTCAAACTACTCTATGAAAAGAAAGGTTCAACTCTTTGAGTTGAATGCAAACAACACAAAGGAGTTTCGGACAATGCTTCTGTCTGGTCTTTATGTGAAGATATTTCCTTTTCGACCATAATGCTCAAGGTGATCCAAATGTCCACTTGCAGATTCTACAAAAATGGTGTTTCAAAACGGCTCTATCAAAAGAAAGGTCAAATCTGTGAGTTGAATGCACATAGTACAAAGAAGTTTCTGAGAATTCTTCTGTCTAGTTTTTATGTGAAGATATTCCCGTTTCCAATGAAGTCTTCAAAGTGGTCCAAATATCCACTTGCAGATTTTCCAAAAAGAGTGTTTCAAAACTGCTCTATCAAAAGAAAGGTCAAATCTGTGAGTTGAATGCACATAGTACAAAGAAGTTTCTGAGAATTCTTCTGTCTAGTTTTTATGTGAAGATATTCCCGTTTCCAATGAAGTCTTCAAAGTGGTCCAAATATCCACTTGCAGATTTTCCAAAAAGAGTGTTTCAAAACTGCTCTTCCAAAAGGAAGATTCAAACCTATGAGTTGAATGCACACATCACAAAGAAGTTTCTGGGAATGCTTCTGTCTAGTTTTTATATGAATATATTTCCTTTTCTACTAGAGGCCTCAAAGTCCTCCAAATATCCACTTGAAGATTCTACAAAAAGAGTGTTTAAAAACTGCTCTATGAAACGGAATGTTCAACTCTGTGTGTTGAATGCACACATCACAAAGTAGTTTCCTAGAATGCTTCTGTCTAGTTTTTATGTGAGGATAACCCCGTTTCTGATGAAGGCCTCAAAGCGGTCCAAATATCGACTTGCAGATTCTACAAAAAGAGTGTTTCAAAACTGTTCTTTCAAAAGGAAAGTTCAAATCCATTAGTTGAATGCAAACATCACAAAGAAGTTTCTGAGAATGCTTCTGTCTGGCTTTTCTGTGAAGATATTTCCTTTTCCACCATAGGTCTCAAAGTGCTCCAAATGTCCACTTGCAGATTCTACAAAAAGTGTGTTTCAAAACTGCTCTATCAAAAGGAAGGCTCACCTCTATGAGTTGAATGCACGCATCACAAAGAAGTTTCTCAGAATGATTCTCTCTAGTTTTTATGTGAAGATATTCCAGTTTCCAATGAAGGCTACAAAGCACTCAAAATATCCAATTGTGGATTCTACAAAAAAACTGTTTCAAAACAGCTCTATGAAAAGGTATGTTCAACTCTGTGAGTTGAATGCACACATCACAAAGAAGTTTCTGAGAATGCTTCTATCTAGTTTTTATGTGAAGATATTTCCTTTTCCAACATAGCCCTTAAAATGCTCCAAATATTCACGTGCAGATTCTACAAAAAGAGTGTTTCGAAACTGCTCTGTCAAAAGGAAGGTTCAACTCTGTGAGTTGAATGCACACATCACAAAGAAGCTTCTCAGAATGCTTCTGTCTAGTTTTTATGTGAAGATATTCCCGTTTCCAACCAAGGCCTCAAAGGGCTCCAAATACACCCTTGCAGATTTTAGAAAAAGAGTGTTTCAAAACTGCTCTATGAAAAGTTATGTTCAACTCTGTGAGTTGAATGCAAACATCTCACAGAAGTTTCTGAGAATGCTTCTGTCTAGTCTTTATGTGAAGATATATCCTTTTCCACCATAGCCCTCAAAGGGCTCCAAAGGTTCACTTGCAGATTCTACAAAAAGAGTGGTTCAAAGCTGCTCTATGAAAAGAAAGGTTCAACTATGTGAGTTGAATGCAAACATCACAGAGAAGTTTCTGAGAATGCTTGGGTCTAGTTTTTACCTGAAGATATTTCCTTATCCACCATAGCCCCCAAAGTGCTCCAAATGTCCACTTGCAGATTCTACAAAAGGAGTGTTTCAAAACTGCTCAATCAAAAGAAATGTTAAACTCTGTGATTTCAATGCACACATCACGAAAATGTTTCTGAGAATGCTTCTGTCTAGTTTTTATCTGAAGATATTTCCTTTTCCACCGTAGCCCTCACAGCGCTCCAATGGTCCACTTGCAAATTCTACAAAAGAAGTGTTTCAAAACTGCTCTTTCAAAAGAAAGGTTCAACTCTGTGAGTTGAATGCACACATCACAAAGTAGTTTCTGAGAATGCTTCTGTCTAGTTTATATATGAAGATATTTCCTTTTCTACCATTGGCCTCAAAGTGCTCCAAATATCCACGGGCTTATGTCTAGTTTTTATGGGAAGATATTTCCTTTTCCATCATAGCCCTCAAAGCGCTCCAAATGTCCACTTGAAGATTTTACAAAAAAAGTGCTTAAAATCTGCTCTATCAAAAGGAAGGTTCAACTCTGTGAGTTGAATGCACATATCACAAAGAAGTTTCTGAGAATGCTTCTGTCTACTTTTTATGTGAAGAGACTTCCTTTTCCACCATAGGCCTCCAAACCCTCCAAATATCTACTTGCAGATCCTACAGAAAGACCTTTTCAAAACTGCTCTATGAAAAAGAATGTTCAACTCTTTGAGTTGAATGCACACATCCAAAGAAGTTTCTGAGAATGCTTCTGTCTAGTTTTTATGTGAAGATATTTCCTTTTCTACCACAGGCCTCAGAATGCTCCAAACGTCCACTTGCAGATTCTACAAAAAGAGTGTTTCAAAACTGCTCTATCAAAAGAAAGTTTCAACTCTGCGAGTTGAATGCGCACATCACAAATAATTTTCTCAGAATGCTGTCTAGTTTTTATTTGAAGATATTCCCGTTTCCAACAAAGGCCTCAAAGCTCTCAAAATATCCTCTTGCACATTCTGCAAAAAGAGTGTTTCAAAACTACTCTATGAAAAGTTATGTTCAACTCTGTGAGTTGAATGCAAACATCACACAGAATTTTCAGAGAATGCTTCTGTCTAGTGTTTATGTGAAGATATTTCCTTTTCCACCATAGCCCACAAAGCACTCCAATTGTCCACTTGCAGATCCTACAAAAAATTGTTTCAAAACTTCTGTATCAAAATAATAGTTCAACTCTGTGAGTTGAATGCACACATCACAAAGTAGTTTCTGAGAATGATTCCGTCTAGTTTTTGTATGAAGATATTTCCATTTCCAACATAGGCCTCAAAGTGCTCCAAATATGCACTAGCTTCTGTCTAGTGTTTATGTGAAGATATTTCCTTTTCCACCATAACCCTCAGGGCGCTCCAAATATCCACTTGCAGATTCTAAAAAAAGAGCGTTTAAAAACTGCTGTATCAAAAGGAAGATTCAACTCTGTGAGATGAATACACACATCACAAAGAAGTTTCTGAGAAAGCTTCTGTCAAGCTTTTATGTCAAGATATTCCCGTTTCCAACGAAGGCCTCAAAGCATTCTCAATATCCACTTGCAGATTCTACAATAAGATTGTATCAAAAGTGCTCTATGAAAAGGTATGTTCCAATCTGTGAGTTGAATGCAAACATCACAAAGAAGTTTCTGAGAAATCTTCTGTCTAGTTTTTATGTGAAGATATTTCCTTTTCAACAAGAACACTCAAAGCACTCTAAATGTCCAATTGCAGATTCTACAAAAAGAGTGTTTCAAAACTGCTCTGTAAAAAGAAAGTTTCAACTCTGTGAGTTGAATTCACATACCACAACGTAGTTACTGTGAATGCTTATGTCTAGTTTTTACAGGAAGGTATTACCTTTTCTACCAAAAGCTCAAAGCACTCCAAATATCCACTTGGAGATTATACAAAAAGAGTGTTTCAAAACTGTTGTATCAAAAGGAAGGTTTAACTCTGTGAGTTGAATGAACACATCACAAAGAAGTTTCTGAGAAGGCTTCTGTCTGCTTTTTATGCGACGATACTTCTTTTCCACCATAGGCCTCAAAGCGCTAAAATTATCCCCTTCAGATTCTACAAAAAGACTGTTTCCAAATTGCTCTATGAAAAGGAATGTTCAACTCTGTGAGTTGAATGCACACATCACAAGAAAGTTTCTGAGAATGCTTCTGTCTAGTTTTTACGTGAAGCTATTTCCTTTTCCACCACAGCCCTCAAAGTGCTCCAAAAGTCAACTTGCAGATTCTACAAAAAGAGTGCTTCAAAACTGCTCTATCAAAAGAAATTTTCAAATCTCTGAGTTGAATGCACACAACACAAAGTAGTTTCTGAGAATGATTCTGTCTAGTTTTTGTATGAAGATATTTCCATTTCTACCATAGGCCTCAAAGGGCTCCAAATATCCACTTGCAGAGTCTACAAAAAGAGTGTGTCAAACCTGTTCTATCAAAAGGCAGGTTCAACTCTGTGAGTTCAATGCACACATCACAAGAAGTTTCTGTGAATGCTTCTGTCTAGTTTTTTTGTGAAGATATTTCCTATTCCACCATAGCCCTCAAAGCACTCCAAATGCCAACTTGCAGATTCTACAAAAAGAGTGTTTCAAAACTGTACTGTGGAAAGAAAGGTTCAACTCTGTGAGTTAAATGCGCACATCACAATGAAGTTTCTGAGAATGCTTCTGTCTAGTTTATATGTGAAGGTATTCCCATTTCAACTGTAGGCCTCAAAGCACACAAAATATCCACGTTGGAGATTCTACAAAAAGAGTGTTTCAAAACTGCTCTAACAAAAGGAAAGTTCAACTCTGCGAGTTGAATGCACACATCACAAAGAAGTTTCTGAGAATGCCTCTGTCTAGTTTTTATGAGAAGATATTCCTTTTTCCAAAGAAGTTCTCAAAGCGCTCCAAATATCCTCCTGCACATTCTACAAAGAGAGTGTTTCAAAGCCACTCTATGAAAAGTTATGTTCAGCTCTGTGAGTTGAATGCAAACATTACAAAGAAGTTTCTGAGAATGTTTCTGTCTAGTTTTTATATGAAGATATTTCCTTTTCTGCCATAGGCCTCAAGGCGCTCCAAATACCCACTTGCAGATTCTATAAAAAGTGTTTCAAAACTGCTCTATCAAAAGCAAGGTTCAACTATGTGAGTTGAATGCACACATCACAAGGAAGTTTCTGAGAATGCCTCTGTCCACTTTTTATGTGAAGCTACATCCTTTTCCAACATAGGCCTCAAACTGCTGCAAATATCCACTTGCAGATTCTACAAAAGGACTGTTTCAAAGCTGTTCTATGAAAAGGAATGTTCAACTCTGTGAGTTGAATGCACTCTTCACAAAGGAGTTTCTGAGACTGCTTCTGTCTTATTTTTATGTGAAGATATTCCCGTTTCCAACGAAGGACTCAAATCGGGCCAAATATCCACTTGCAGATTCTACAAAAGGAGTGCTTCAAAACTGCTCTATGGAAAGGTATGTTCGACTGTGTGAGTTGAATGCAGACATCACCAGAAGTTTCTGAGAATGTTTCTCTCTAGTTTTTATGTGAAGATATTTCCTTTTACACTGAAGGCCTCAAAACACTCCAAATGTCCACTTGCTGATTCAACAAAAAGGGTGTTTCAAAACTGCTCTATGAAAAGGAATGTTCAACTCTGTGATTTGAATGCACACGTCACAAAGTTGTTTCTGAGAATTCTTCTGTCTAGTTTTTATGTGAAGATATTCCCGTTTCAGCTGTAGGCCTCAAAGCACTCAAAATATCCACTTTCAGGTTCTACAAAAAGAGTATTTCAAAACTGCTCTATGATAAGGTATGTACTACTCTGTGAGTTGAATACAATTGTCACAAAGAAGTTTCTGGGAATGCTTCCGTCTAGTTTTTAGGTGAAGATATTTCCATTTCCACCATGGCCCTCAAAGCGCTCCAAATGTCCATTTATAGATTCTACAAAAAGAGGGTTTCAAAACTGCTCTATCAAAAGAAGGGTTTCGACTCTGTGAGTTGTATAAACACATCACAGAGTAGTTTCTGAGAATGCTTCGGTCCAGTTTTGTATGAAGGTATTTCCTTTTCTTCCATAGGCCTCAAATAGGTGTTATAAATATGCACCTGTGGTTTATACAAAAAGCGTGTTTCAAATCTGCTCTATCAAAAGGAAGGATCAACTCTGTGAGTTGAATGCACACATCACAAAGCAGTTTCTGAGAATGCTTCTGTCTAGTGTTTATGTGAAGATATTGTCGTTTCCAATGAAGGCTTCAAAGCATTCCAAATATCCACCTGCAGTTCTACAAAAAGAGTTTTTCAAAACTGCTCTTTCAAAAGGAAGGTTCTACTATTTCAGTTGAATTCACACATCACAAAGAAGGTTCTGAGAATGCGTCTGTCTAGTTTTTACATGCAGATATTTCCTTTTCTACCACAGGCCTCAAAGCGCTCCAAATATGCACTTGCAGATCCTACAAAAAGGGTGTTTCAAAACTGCTCTGTCAAAAGGAAGGCTCAACTCTGTGAGTTGAGTGCACATATCACAAAAAAGTTTCTGAGAATGCTTCTGTATACTTCTTATTTGAAAATACTTCCTTTTCCAACGTAGCCCTTAAAACGCTCCAAATGTTCACTTGCAGATTCTACAAAAAGAGTGTTTCAAAACTGCTCTGTCAAAAGGAAGGTTCAACTCTGTGAGGTGAATGCACACATCACAAAGAAGCTTCTCAGATTGCTTCTATCTAGTTTTTATGTGAAGATATTCCCGTTTCCAACCAAGGCCTCAAAGGGCTCCAAATACACACTTGCAGATATTAGAAAAAGAGTGTTTCAAAACTGCTCTATGAAAAGTTATGTTCAACTCTGTGAGTTGAATGCAAACATCTCACAGAAGTTTCTGAGAATGCTTCTGTCTAGTCTTTATGTGAAGATATATCCTTCTCCCCATAGCCCTCAAAGGGCTCCAGATGTTCACTTGCAGATCCTACAAAAAGAGTGGTTCAAAGCTGCTCTATGAAAAGAAAGGTTCAACTATGTGAGTTGAATGCAAACATCACAGAGAAGTTTCTGAGAATGCTTTTGTCTAGTTTTTATGTGAAGATATTTCCTTGTCCACCATAGCCCCCAAAGTGCTCCAAATGTCCACTTGCAGATTCTACAAAAGGAGTGTTTCAAAACTGCTCAATCAAAAGAAATGTTAAACTCTGTGATTTCAATGCACACATCACGAAAATGTTTCTGAGAATGCTTCTGTCTAGTTTTTATCTGAAGATATTTCCTTTTCCACCATAGCCCTCACAGCGCTTCCAAGGTCCACTTGCAGATTCTACAAAAGAAGTGTTTCAAAACTGCTCTTTCAAAAGAAAGGTTCAACTCTGTGAGTTGAATGCACACATCACAAAGTAGTTTCTGAGAATACTTCTGTCTAGTGCATATATGAAGATATTTCCTTTTCTACCATTAGCATCAAAGCGCTCCAAATATCCACTGGCTTATGTCTAGTTTTTATGTGAAGATATTTCCTTTTCCACCATAGCCCTCAAAGTGCTCCAAATATCCACTTGCAGATTTTACAAAAAGAGTGTTTAAAAACTGCTCTATCAAGAGGAAGTCTCAATTTTGTGAGTTGAATGCACATATCACGAAGAAGTTTCTGAGAATGCTTCTGTCTACTTTTTATGTGAAGAGACTTCCTTTTCCACCATAGGACTCATAGCGCTCCAAGTATCCACTTGCAGATCCTACAAAAACACTGTTTCAAAACTGCTCTATCAAAAGGAAGGTTAAACACTGTGTGTTGAATGCACACATCAGAAGAAGTCTCTGTGAATGCCTCTGTCTAGCTTCTTTGTGAAGATATTTCCTTTTCCACCATAGCCCTCAAAGCTCTCCAAATGTCAACTTGCAGATTCTACAAAAAGAGTGTTTCAAAACTGCTCTATCAAAAGAAAGGTTCAACTCTGTGAGTTGAATGGACACATCACAGAGTAGTTTCTGAGAATTCTTCTGTCTAGTTTTTTTGTGAAGATATTTCCTTTTCTAACATAGGCCTCAAAGCGCTCCAAATACCCACTTGCAGATTCTACAAAAAGAGTGTTTCAAAACTGCTATATCAAAAAGAAGGTTCAACTCGGTGATTTGAATGCCCACATCACAAAGAAGATTCTGTGAGTGCTTCTGTGTAGTTTTTTTGTGAAGATATTTCCTTTTCCAATATATCCCACAAAGCGCTACAGATTTCCACTTGCAGATCCTACAAAAAGAGTGTTTCAAAACTGCTCTATTGAAAGAAAGGTTCAACTCTGTGACTTGAAGGCACACATCACAAAGAAGTGTGTGATAATGCTTCTGTCTAGTTTTTATGTAAAGTCATTCCCACTTCCACCGTAGGCCTCAAAGCACTCCAAATATCCACTTACAGATTCTACAAAAAGAGTGTTTCAAAACTGCTCTCTCAAAAGAAAGGTTTATTTCTGTGAGTTGAATGCACACATCACAAAGAAGTTTCTGAGAATGTTTCTGTCTAGTTTTTATGTGAAGATGTTCCCGTTTCCAATGAACACCTCAAAACCATCCAAATATCCACTTGCAGATTCTACAAAAAGATTGTTTCAAAACTGCTCTAAGAAAAGGTATGTTCAGCTCTGTGAGTGGAATGCAAACATCACAAAGAAATTTCTGAGAATGCTTCTGTCTAGTTTTTATGTGAAGATATATCTTTTTCCACCACAGCCCTCAAAGTGCTCCAAATGTCTACATGCAGATTCTACAAAAAGAGTGTTTCAAAACTGCTCTATCAAAAGTAAGGTTCAAATCTGTGAGTTGAATGCACCCAGCACAAAGTAGTTTCTGAGAATTCTTCTATCTAGTTTTTATTTGAAGATATTCCCGTTTCCAACAAAGGCTGCAAAGCGTCCAAATATCCACTTGCAGATTCTACAAAAAAAGAGAGTTTCAAAACTGCCCTGTGAAAAGGTATGTTAAACTCTGTGAGTTTAATGCAATCATCACAAAGAAGTTTCTGAGAATGCTTCTGTCTAGTTTTGATGTGAAGATATTTCCTTTCCTACCATTGGCCTCAAAGCACTCCAAACAGCCACTTTCAGGTTGTACAAAAAAAGTGTATCAAAACTGCTCTATTAAAAGGAAGTTTCAGCTCTGTGATTTGAATGCACCCATCACAAAGAAGTTTCTGAGAATGCTTCTGTCTAGTTTTTATGTGAAGATATTCCCGTTCACAATGAGCGCTTCAAAGCACTCCAAATAACGACCTGCAGATTCTACAAAAAGAGTGTTTCAGAACTGCTCTATAAAAAGGAAGGTTCAACTCCGTGAGTTGAATGCAAACATCACAAAGAAGTTTCTGAGAATTCTTCTATCAAATATTTATGTGAAGATACTTCTTTTTCCATTGAAAAACTCAAAGAGCTCGAAATGTCCACTTGCAGATTCTACAAAAAGTGTGTTTCAAAACTGCTGTATCAAAAGAAAGGTTCAACTCTGTGAGTTGAAGGCACACATCACAAAGAAGTTTCTGAGAATGATTCTGCCTAGTTTTTATGTGAAGATTTTTCCATTTCCAATGAAAGCCTCAAAGTGGTCCAAATATCCACTTGCAGATTCTACAAAAAGAGTGTTTCAAAACTGCTGTATCGAAAAAAGGGTTAAACTCTGTGAGTTGAATGCAAATATCACAAAGAAGTTTCTGGGAATGCTTCTGTCTCCTTTTTATGTGAAGATATTCCCGTTTCCAAAGAAGGCTTCAAAGCGCTCCAAATATCGAAATGCAGAAACTACAAAAAGAGTGTTTCAAAACTCCTCTATGAAAAGGTATGTTCAACTCTGTCAGTTGAATGAAAACGTCACAAAGTAGTTTCTGAGAATGCTTCTGTCTCGTATTTATGTGAACATATTTCCTTTTCCAACATTGCCCTCAAAGCCCTCGAAGTGTCCAATTGCAGATTCTGCAAAAAGAGTGTTTGAAAACTGCTCTATCAAAAGAAAGGTTCAACTCTGTGAGTTGAATGCACACATCACAAAGTAGTATCTGAGAATGCTTCTGTGTAGTTTTTATACGAAGATATTTCCTTTTCTTCTGGAGGCCTCAAAGGGCTCGAAATATCCACTTGCAGGTCCTACAAAAAGAGTTTCAAAACTGCTCTATGAAAAGGAATGTTCAACTCTGTGAGTTGAATGCACACATCACAAAGAAGTTCTGAGAATCTTTCTGTCTAGTTTTTATATGAGGATATTTTCTTTTCTAAAATAGTCCTCAAAGCACCCCTAATATCCACTTACAGATTCTAGAAACAGTGTTTCAAAGTTGCTCTATCAAACGGAAGTTTCAACTCTGTGATTTGAATGCACACATCATGAAGAAGTTTCTGAGAATGATTCTGCCTAGATTTTATGTGAAGATATTCCTGTTTCCGATGAAGGTTTCAAAGCGCTCCAAATACATACTTGCAGATTCTACAAAAAGAGTGTTTCAAAACTGCTCTATCAAAAAAAAGTGCAACTCAGGGAGTTGAATGCACACAACACAAAGTAGTTTTTGAGAATGCTTCTGTCTAGTTTTTAACTGAAGATATTTCCTTTTCCACCACAGGCCTCAAAGTCCTCCAAATATCCACTTGCAGATTTTTCAAAAAGAGTGTTTCAAAACTGCCCTATCAAAAGGAGGATTCAACTCTGTGCGTTGAATGCACGCATCACAAACTTGTTTAAGAGAATGCTTCTGTCTAGTTTTTATATGCAGATATTTCCTTTTCTACCACAGTCCACAAAGCACTCCAAATATCCACTTGCAGATTTTACAAAAAGAATGTTTCAAAACTGGTCTAAGACAAGGAATATTCACCTCTGTGAGTTGAATGCACACATGACAAAGAAGCTTCTGAGAAATCTTCTGTTTAGTTTTTATGCGTAGATATCCCTGTTTCCAATGAAGGCCTCAAAGCGCTCCAAATATCCACTTGCAGATTCTACAAAGAGTGTTTCATAACTGCTCTATCAAAAGGAATGTTCAACCCTCTGAGTTCAATGCACACATCAGAAAGAAATTTCTGACAATGCTTCTGTCTAGTTTTTTTTTTTTTTTTTATTATACTCTAAGTTTTAGGGTACATGTGCACATTGTGCAGGTTAGTTACATATGTATACATGTGCCATGCTGGTGCGCTGCACCCACTAATGTGTCATCTAGCATTAGGTATATCTCCCAATGCTATCCCTCCCCCCTCCCCCGACCCCACCACAGTCCCCAGAGTGTGATATTCCCCTTCCTGTGTCCATGTGATCTCATTGTTCAATTCCCACCTATGAGTGAGAATATGCAGTGTTTGGTTTTTTGTTCTTGCGATAGTTTACTGAGAATGATGGTTTCCAATTTCATCCATGTCCCTACAAAGGATATGAACTCATCATTTTTTATGGCTGCATAGTATTCCATGGTGTATATGTGCCACATTTTCTTAATCCAGTCTATCATTGTTGGACATTTGGGTTGGTTCCAAGTCTTTGCTATTGTGAATAGTGCCGCAATAAACATACGTGTGCATGTGTCTTTATAGCAGCATGATTTATAGTCCTTTGGGTATATACCCAGTAATGGGATGGCTGGGTCAAATGGTATTTCTAGTTCTAGATCCCTGAGGAATCGCCACACTGACTTCCACAATGGTTGAACTAGTTGACAGTCCCACCAACAGTGTAAAAGTGTTCCTATTTCTCCACATCCTCTCCAGCACCTGTTGTTTCCTGACTTTTTAATGATTGCCATTCTAACTGGTGTGAGATGGTATCTCATAGTGGTTTTGATTTGCATTTCTCTGATGGCCAGTGATGATGAGCATTTCTTCATGTGTTTTTTGGCTGCATAAATGTCTTCTTTTGAGAAGTGTCTGTTCATGTCCTTCGCCCACTTTTTGATGGGGTTGTTTGTTTTTTTCTTGTAAATTTGTTTGCGTTCATTGTAGATTCTGGATATTAGCCCTTTGTCAGATGAGTAGGTTGCGAAAATTTTCTCCCATGTTGTAGGTTGCCTGTTCACTCTGATGGTAGTTTCTTTTGCTGTGCAGAAGCTCTTTAGTTTAATTAGATCCCATTTGTCAATTTTGGCTTTTGTTGCCATTGCTTTTGGTGTTTTGGACATGAAGTCCTTGCCCACGCCTATGTCCTGAATGGTAATGCCTAGGTTTTCTTCTAGGGTTTTTATGGTTTTAGGTCTAACGTTTAAATCTTTATTCCAGCTTGAATTGATTTTTGTATAAGGTGTAAGGAAGGGATCCAGTTTCAGCTTTCTACATATGGCTAGACAGTTTTCCCAGCACCATTTATTAAATAGGGAATCCTTTCCCCATTGCTTGTTTTTCTCAGGTTTGTCAAAGATCAGATAGTTGTAGATATGTGGCATTATTTCTGAGGACTCTGTTCTGTTCCATTGATCTATATCTCTGTTTTGGTACCAGTACCATGCTGTTTTGGTTACTGTAGCCTTGTAGTATAGTTTGAAGTCAGGTAGTGTGATGCCTCCAGCTTTGTTCTTTTGGCTTAGGATTGACTTGGCAATGCGGGCTCTTTTTTGGTTCCATATGAACTTTAAAGTAGTTTTTTCCAATTCTGTGAAGAAAGTCATTGGTAGCTTGATGGGGATGGCATTGAATCTGTAAATTACCTTGGGCAGTATGGCCATTTTCACGATATTGATTCTTCCTACCCATGAGCATGGAATGTTCTTCCATTTGTTTGTGTCCTCTTTTATTTCCTTGAGCAGTGGTTTGTAGTTCTCCTTGAAGAGGTCCTTCACATCCCTTGTAAGTTGGATTCCTAGGTATTTTATTCTCTTTGAAGCAATTGTGAATGGGAGTTCACCCATGATTTGGCTCTCTGTTTGTCTGTTGTTGGTGTATAAGAATGCTTGTGATTTTTGTACATTGATTTTGTATCCTGAGACTTTGCTGAAGTTGCTTATCAGCTTAAGGAGATTTTGGGCTGAGACGATGGGGTTTTCTAGATAAACAATCATGTCGTCTGCAAACAGGGACAATTTGACTTCCTCTTTTCCTACTTGAATACCCTTTATTTCCTTCTCCTGCCTGATTGCCCTGGCCAGAACTTCCAACACTATGTTGAATAGGAGCGGTGAGAGAGGGCATCCCTGTCTTGTGCCAGTTTTCAAAGGGAATGCTTCCCGTTTTTGCCCATTCAGTATGATATTGGCTGTGGGTTTGTCATAGATAGCTCTTATTATTTTGAAATACGTCCCATCAATACCTAATTTATTGAGAGTTTTTAGCATGAAGGGTTGTTGAATTTTGTCAAAGGCTTTTTCTGCATCTATTGAGATAATCATGTGGTTTTTGTCTTTGGCTCTGTTTATATGCTGGATTACATTTATTGATTTGCATATATTGAACCAGCCTTGCATCCCAGGGATGAAGCCCACTTGATCATGGTGGATAAGCTTTTTGATGTGCTGCTGGATTTGGTTTGCCAGTATTTTATTGAGGATTTTTGCATCAATGTTCATCAAGGATATTGGTCTAAAATTCTCTTTTTTGGTTGTGTCTCTGCCCGGCTTTGGTATCAGAATGATGCTGGCCTCATAAAATGAGTTAGGGAGGATTCCCTCTTTTTCTATTGATTGGAATAGTTTCAGAAGGAATGGTACCAGTTCCTCCTTGTACCTCTGTTAGAATTCGGCTGTGAATCCATCTGGTCCTGGACTCTTTTTGGTTGGTAAACTATTGATTATTGCCACAATTTCAGAGCCTGTTATTGGTCTATTCAGAGATTCAACTTCTTCCTGGTTTAGTCTTGGGAGAGTGTATGTGTCGAGGAATGTATCCATTTCTTCTAGATTTTCTAGTTTATTTGCGTAGAGGTGTTTGTAGTATTCTCTGATGGTAGTTTGTATTTCTGTGGGATCGGTGGTGATATCCCCTTTATCATTTTTTATTGTGTCTATTTGATTCTTCTCTCTTTTTTTCTTTATTAGTCTTGCTAGCGGTCTATCAATTTTGTTGATCCTTTCAAAAAACCAGCTCCTGGATTCATTGATTTTTTGAAGGGTTTTTTGTGTCTCTATTTCCTTCAGTTCTGCTCTGATTTTAGTTATTTCTTGCCTTCTGCTAGCTTTTGAATGTGTTTGCTCTTGCTTTTCTAGTTCTTTTAATTGTGATGTTAGGGTGTCAATTTTGGATCTTTCCTGCTTTCTCTTGTAGGCATTTAGTGCTATAAATTTCCTTCTACACACTGCTTTGAATGCGTCCCAGAGATTCTGGTATGTGGTGTCTTTGTTCTCGTTGGTTTCAAAGAACATCTTTATTTCTGCCTTCATTTCGTTATGTACCCAGTAGTCATTCAGGAGCAGGTTGTTCAGTTTCCATGTAGTTGAGCGGCTTTGAGTGAGATTTTTAATCCTGAGTTCTAGTTTGATTGCACTGTGGTCTGAGAGATAGTTTGTTATAATTTCTGTTCTTTTACATTTGCTGAGGAGAGCTTTACTTCCAAGTATGTGGTCAATTTTGGAATAGGTGTGGTGTGGTGCTGAAAAAAATGTATATTCTGTTGATTTGGGGTGGAGAGTTCTGTAGATGTCTATTAGGTCTGCTTGGTGCAGAGCTGAGTTCAATTCCTGGGTATCCTTGTTGACTTTCTGTCTCGTTGATCTGTCTAATGTTGACAGTGGGTTGTTAAAGTCTCCCATTATTAATGTGTGGGAGTCTAAGTCTCTTTGTAGGTCACTCAGGACTTGCTTTATGAATCTGGGTGCTCCTGTATTGGGTGCATAAATATTTAGGATAGTTAGCTCCTCTTGTTGAATTGATCCCTTTACCATTATGTAATGGCCTTCTTTGTCTCTTTTGATCTTTGTTGGTTTAAAGTCTGTTTTATCAGAGAGTAGGATTGCAACCCCTGCCTTTTTTTGTTTTCCATTTGCTTGGTAGATCTTCCTCCATCCTTTTATTTTGAGCCTATGTGTGTCTCTGCACGTGAGATGGGTTTCCTGAATACAGCACACTGATGGGTCTTGACTCTTTATCCAACTTGCCAGTCTGTGTCTTTTAATTGCAGAATTTAGTCCATTTATATTTAAAGTTAATATTGTTATGTGTGAATTTGATCCTGTCATTATGATGTTAGCTGGTGATTTTGCTCATTAGTTGATGCAGTTTCTTCCTAGTCTCTATGGTCTTTACATTTTGGCATGATTTTGCAGCGGCTGGTACCAGTTGTTCCTTTCCATGTTTAGCGCTTCCTTCAGGAGCTCTTTTAGGGCAGGCCTGGTGGTGACAAAATCTCTCAGCATTTGCTTGTCTATAAAGTATTTTATTTCTCCTTCACTTATGAAGCTTAGTTTGGCTGGATATGAAATTCTGGGTTGAAAATTCTTTTCTTTAAGAATGTTGAATATTGGCCCCCACTCTCTTCTGGCTTGTAGGGTTTCTGCCGAGAGATCCACTGTTAGTCTGATGGGCTTTCCTTTGAGGGTAACCCGACCTTTCTCTCTGGCTGCCCTTAACATTTTTTCCTTCATTTCAACTTTGGTGAATCTGACAATTATGTGTCTTGGAGTTGCTCTTCTCGAGGAGTATCTTTGTGGCGTTCTCTGTATTTCCTGAATCTGAACCTTGGCCTGCCTTGCTAGATTGGGGAAGTTCTCCTGGATAATATCCTGCAGAGTGTTTTCCAACTTGGTTCCATTCTCCACATCACTTTCAGGTACACCAATCAGACGTAGATTTGGTCTTTTCACATAGTCTCATATTTCTTGGTGGCTTTGCTCATTTCTTTTTATTCTTTTTTCTCTAAACTTCCCTTCTCACTTCATTTCATTCATTTCATCTTCCATTGCTGATACCCTTTCTTCCAGTTGATCGCATCGGCTCCTGAGGCTTCTGCATTCTTCACGTAGTTCTCGAGCCTTGGTTTTCAGCTCCATCAGCTCCTTTAAGCACTTCTCTGTATTGGTTATTCTAGTTATACATTCTTCTAAATTTTTTTCAAAGTTTTCAACTTCTTTGCCTTTGGTTTGAATGTCCTCCCGTAGCTCAGAGTAATTTGATCGTCTGAAGCCTTCTTCTCTCAGCTCGTCAAAATCATTCTCCATCCAGCTTTGTTCTGTTGCTGGTGAGGAACTGCGTTCCTTTGGAGGAGGAGAGGTGCTCTGCGTTTTAGAGTTTCCAGTTTTTCTGTTCTGTTTTTTCCCCATCTTTGTGGTTTTATCTACTTTTGGTCTTTGATGATGGTGATGTACAGATGGGTTTTCGGTGTAGATGTCCTTTCTGGTTGTTAGTTTTCCTTCTAACAGACAGGACCCTCAGCTGCAGGTCTGTTGGAATACCCTGCCGTGTGAGGTGTCAGTGTGCCCCTGCTGGGGGGTGCCTCCCAGTTAGGCTGCTCGGGGGTCAGGGGTCAGGGACCCACTTGAGGAGGCAGTCTGCCTGTTCTCAGATCTCCAGCTGCGTGCTGGGAGAACCACTGCTCTCTTCAAAGCTGTCAGACAGGGACACTGAAGTCTGCAGAGGTTACTGCTGTCTTTTTGTTTGTCTGTGCCCTGCCCCCAGAGGTGGAGCCTACAGAGGCAGGCAGGCCTCCTTGAGCTGTGGTGGGCTCCACCCAGTTCGAGCTTCCCGGCTGCTTTGTTTACCTAAGCAAGCCTGGGCAATGGCGGGCGCCCCTCCCCCAGCCTCGTTGCCGCCTTGCAGTTTGATCTCAGACTGCTGTGCTAGCAATCAGCGCGATTCCGTGGGCGTACGACCCTCCGAGCCAGGTGTGGGATATAGTCTCGTGGTGCGCCGTTTCTTAAGCCGGTCTGAAAAGCGCAATATTCGGGTGGGAGTGACCCGATTTTCCAGGTGCGTCCGTCACCCCTTTCTTTGACTCGGAAAGGGAACTCCCTGACCCCTTGCGCTTCCCAGGTGAGGCAATGCCTCGCCCTGCTTCGGCTCGCGCACGGTGCGCACACACACTGGCCTGTGCCCACTGTCTGGCACTCCCTAGTGAGATGAACCCGGTACCTCAGATGGAAATGCAGAAATCACCCGTCTTCTGCGTCGCTCACGCTGGGAGCTGTAGACCGGAGCTGTTCCTATCTTCTGTCTAGTTTTAATGTGAAGATAGTCCCGTTTCCACCATAGTCCTCAAAATGCTCCTAATATCCACTTGCTGATTCCACAAATACAGTGTTTAAAAGCTGCTATATAAAAAGGAAGGTTCAACTGTGTGAATTGAATACACACATCACAAAGAAGTTTCTGAGAATGATTCTGTCTACTTTTTATGTGAAGATATTTTGTTGTCCAACATACCCCTGAAAGCGCTCCAAATAGCCACTTGCAGATTTTACAAAAAGAGAGTTTCAAAAGTGCTGTATCAAAAGAAATGTTCAACTCTGTGAGTTGAATGCACACATCACAAAGTAGTTTCTGAGAATGCTTCTGTCTAGTACTAATATGAAGATATTTCCTTTTCTACCATAGGCCTCAAAGAGCTCCAAATATCCACTTGCACATTCTAATAAAAGAGTATTTCAAAACTGCTCTATTAAAAGGAAGGTTCAACTCTGAGAGTAGAATGCACACATCACAAAGAAGTTTCTGACAATGCTTCTGTCTACTTTTTATGTGAATATATTCCCGTTTCCAGCGATGGCTTCAAAGTGCTCCAAATATCCTCTTGCAGATTGTACAAAAAGAGTGTTTCATAACTGCTCTATCAAAAGTAAGGTTCAACTCTGTGAGTTTAATGCACACATAAGGTAGTTTCTGAGAATTGTTCTTTCTAGTGTTTATGTGAAGATATTCCCCCTTCAACCATAGGCCTCAAGGTGCTCCAAGTATAAGCTTGCAGATTCTACAAAAAGAGTGTTTCAAAACTGCCCTTTCAAAAGGAAGGTTCAAATTTGTGAGCTGAATGCAGACATCACAAAGAAGTTTCTGAGAATGTTTCTGTATAGTTCTTATGTGAAGATATTCCTATTTCCAGTGAAGACCTCAAAGCTGTCCAAATATCCACTTGCAGATTCTACAAAAAGAGAGTTTCAAAACTGCTCTATCAAAAGGAAGGTTCAACTCTGTGAGTTCAATGCACACATAACAAGGTAGTTTCTGAGAATCGTTCTTTCTAGTGTTTATGTGAAGATATTCCCGTTTCAACCGTAGGCCTCAAGGTGCTCCAAATATCTGCTTGCAGATTCTACAAAAAGAGTATTTCAAAACTGCTCTATCAAAAGGAAGATTCAAATTTGTGAGCTGAATGCAGACATCACAAAGAAGTTTCTGAGAATGCTTCTGTCTAGTTCTTATGTGAAGATATTCCCATTTCCAATGAAGGCCTCAAAGCAGTCCAAATATCCACTTGCAGATTCTACAAAAAGAGTGTTTCCAAACTGCTCTATCGAAAGAAAGTTTCAACTCCGTGAGTTGAATGCACACATCACAAGTCATTTCTGAGAATGCTTCTGTCTAGTTTTTATGTGAAGATATGCCCATTTAAACCGATGTCCTCAAAGCACTCCAAATATCCACTTGCAGATTCTACAAAAAGAGTGATTCAAAACTGCTCTATCAAAAGGAAGGTTCAACTCTGTGAGTTGAATGCACACATCAGAAAGAAGTTTCTGAGATTGCTTCTGTCAAGTTTTCATGTGAAGATATTACCATTTCCAATGAAGGCTTCAAAGCGCTGCAAATATCCACTTGCAGATTCCACAAAAAGAGTGTTTCAAAACTTCTCTATCTAAAGGAAGGTTCAACTCTCTTATTTGAATGCACACATCACAAAGAAGTTTCTGAGAATGCTTCTGTCTAGTTTTTATGTGAAGATATTCCCGTTTCCACCACAGGCCTCAAAGCGCTACAAATATCCACTTGCAGATGCTACAAAACGAGTGTTTCAAAACCACTCTATCAAAAGGAAGGTTCAGCTCTGTGAGTTGAATGCACACATCACAAAGGATTTTCTGAGAATGCTACTGTCTAGTTTTTATAAGCAGATATTCCCTTTTCCAACGAAGGCCTCAAAGTGGTCGAAATATCCACTTGCAGATGATACAAAAAGACTGTTTCAAAACTGTTCTATGAAAAGGTATGTTCAACTCTTTGAGTTGAATGCCAACATCACAAAGAAGTTTCTGAGAATGCTTCTGTCTAGTTTTTATGAGAAGATATTTAAGTTTCCACCGTAGGCCTCAAAGCTCTCCAAATGTCCACTTGTGGATTCTACAAAAAGAATGTTTCAAAACTGCTCTATCAAAATAAAGTTTCAACTCTGTGAGGTGAATGCACACATCACAAAGTAGATTCTGAGAATGATTCTGTCTAGTTTTTATATGAAGATATTTCCTTTTCTACCATCGGCCTCAAAGTGCTCCAAATATACACTTGCAGATTCTAAAAAGGAATGTTTCAAAACTGCTCTATCAAAAGGAAGGTCCAACTCCGTGAGTTCAATGCACACATCACAAAGATACTTCCTGAGAATGCTTCTGTCCAGTTTTTATGTGAAGATATGCCCGTTTAAACCGAAGGCCTCAAAGCGCTCCAAATATCCACTTGCAGATTCTACAAAAAGAGTGATTCAAAACTGCTCTATCAAAAGGAAGGTTCAACTCTGTGAGTTGAATGCACACATCAGAAAGAATTTTCTGATATTGCTTCTGTCAAGTTTTTATGTGAAGATATACCCTTTTCCAATGAAGGCTTCAAAGCGCTGCAAATATCCACTTGCAGATTCCACAAAAAGAGTGTTTCAAAACTGCTCTATCTAAAGGAAGGTTCAACTCTCTGTTTTGAATGCACACATCACAAAGAAGTTTCTGAGAATGCTTCCGTCTAGTTTTTATGTGAAGATAGTCCCATTTCCACCGTAGTCTTCAAAACGCTCTTAATATCCACTTGCTGATTCTACAAAAACAGTGTTTCAAAAACTGCTCTATAAAAAGGAAGGTTCAAATCTGTGAGTTTAGTGCACACATCACAAACAAGTTTCTGACAATGCTTCTGTCTAGTTTTTATGTGAAGATATTTCCTTTTCCACCAAAGGCTTCAAAGTGCTCCAAATGTCCACTTACGGATCCTACAAAAAGAGAGTTTCAAAACTGCTCTATCAAAAGAAAGGTTCAACACTGTGACTTGAACGCACACATCACAAAGACGTTTATGAGAATGTTCAGTCTAATTTTTATGTGAAGATATTCCCCTTTCAAATGTATGCCTCAAAGCACTCCAAATATCCATTTGCAGATTCGACAAAAGGAGTTTTTCAAAACTGCTCTATCAAAAGGAAGGTTCAAATCTGTGAGTTGAATGCACACATCAAAAAGAAGTTTCAGAGAATGCTTCTGTCTAGTTTTTATGTGAAGATGTTCCCATTCCCAACAAAGGCCTCAAAGCAGTCCAAATGTCCACCTGTAGATTCTACAAAAAGAGTGTTTCAAAACTTCTCTATGAAAACGTATGTTTAACCCTGTGAGTTCAATGTAAACATCACAAAGAAGTTTCTGAGAATGATTCTGTCTACTTTTTATGTGAAGATATTTCCTTGTCCAACATAGGCCTGAAAGTGCTCCAAATAGCCACTTGCAGATTCTACAAAAAGAGTGTTTCCAAACTGCTCTATCAAAAGAAAGGTTCAACTCCGTGAGTTGAATGCACACATCACAAAGAAGATTCTGAGAATTCTTCTGTCTAGTTTTTATATGAAGATATTTTCTTTTCTACCATAGGCCTCAAAGTGCTCCAAATATCCACTTGTACATTCTACTAAAAGAGAATTTCAAAACTGCTCTCTCAAAAGGAAGGTTCAACTCTGTGAGTTGAATGGACACATCACAAAGAAGTTTCTGACAATTCTTCTGTCTGCTTTTTATCTGAAGATATTCCTGTTTGCACCATAGACCTCAAAGAGCTCCAAATATCCACTTGGAGATTCTACAAAAAGAGTGTTTTAAAACTGCTCTATCAAAAGGGAGGTTCAACTCTGTGGGTTGAATACACACATTACAAAGAAGTTTCTGAGAATGCTTCTGTCTAGTTTTTAAGTGTAGATATTTACTTTTCCACTGAAGGCCTCAAAGTGCTCCAAATGTCCACTTGCAGATTCTACAAAGGAGTGTTTCAAAACTGCTCTATCAAAAGGAAAGTTCAACTCTCTGAGTTGAAATCACATAGCACAAAAAAGTTACTGAGAATGCTTCTGTCTAGTTTTATGTGAATATCTTACCGTTTCCAATGAAGGCCTCAAAGCGTTCCAAGTAACCATTCGCAGATTCCACAAAAAGAGTGTTTCAAAACTGCTCTATCAAAAGGTATGTTCATCTCTGGGAGTTGAATGCAAACATCACAAAGAAGTTTCTGAGAATGCTTCTGTCTGGTCTTTATGTGAATATATTTTTCTTTTCCACCACAGGCCTCAAAGCGCTCCAAATGTCCACTTGCAGATTCTACAAAAAGACTGTTTCAAAACTGCTCTATCGAAAGAAATTTCAACTCTGTGAGTTGAATGCACACAGCACAAAGAAGTTTCTGAGAATGCTTCGGTCAAATTTTTTATGTGAAGACATTCCCGTTTCCAACGATGGCTTCAAAATGCTCCAAATATCCACTTGCAGATTTTACAAAAAGAGGGTTTCAACCCTGCCCTATCAAAAGAAAGGTTCAACTCTGTGAGTTGAATGCACACCTAACAAGGAAGTTCTGAGAATCGTTCTTTCTAATACTTATGTGAAGATATTCCCGTTTCAACCGTACGCCTCAAGGCGCTCCAAATATCCGCTTGCAGATTCTACAAAAAGAGTGTTTCAAAACTGCTCTATCAAAAGGTATGTTCATCTCTGGGAGTTGAATGCAGACATCACAAAGAAGTTTGTGAGAATGCTTCTGTCTAGTTCTTATGTGAAGATATTCTCGTTTCAACCATAGGCCCCAAAGCACTCCAAATATCCACAAGGAGATTCTTCAAAAAGACTGTTTCAAAATTGCTCTATCAAAAGGAAGTTTCAACTCTGTGATTTGAATGCACACATCACAAAGAAATTTCTGAGAATGTTTCTGTCTAGTTTTTATTTGAAGATATTCCTTTTTCCAAGGAAGGCCTCAAAGCGGTCCAAATATGCACTTGCAGATTCTACAAAAAGAGTGTTTCAAAACTGCTCTCTGAAAAGGTATGTTCAAATCTGTTAGCTGAATTCAAACATTACAAAGAAATTTCTGAGAATGCTTCTGCCTACTTTTTATGTGAAGATATTTCCTTTTCCACCATAGCCCTCAAAGCGCTTCAAATGTCCACTTTCAGATTCCACAAAAAGAGTGTTTCAAAACTGCTCTATGTAAAGTTATGTTCAACTCTGTGAGTTGAATGCAAACATCACAAAGACATTTCTGAGAATGCTTCTGTCTAGCTTTTCTGTGAAGATATTCCCATTTCCAATGAAGGCCTCAAAGCGGTCCAAATATGCACTTGCAGATTATACAAAAAGAGTGTTTCAAAACTGCTCTCTGAAAAGGTATGTTCAAATCTGTTAGCTGAATTCAAACATTACAAAGAAATTTCTGAGAATGCTTCTGCCTACTTTTTATGTGAAGATATTTCCTTTTCCACCATAGCCCTCAAAGCGCTTCAAATGTCCACTTTCAGATTCCACAAAAAGAGTGTTTCAAAACTGCTCTATGTAAAGTTATGTTCAACTCTGTGAGTTGAATGCAAACATCACAAAGACATTTCTGAGAATGCTTCTATCTAGTTTTTATGTGAAGATATTTCTTTTTCCACCATAGCCCTCAAAGCGCTCCAAATGTCCACTTGCAGATTCTACAAAAGAGTGTTTCAAAACTGCTCTATGAAAAGGAATGTTCAACTCTGTCAGTTGAATGCACACATCACAAAGAAGTTTCTGAGAATACTTCTGTCTACTTTTTATGTGCAGGTATTTCCTTTTCCACCACAGGCTTCAAAGTGTTCCAAATGTCCACTGGGAGATCCTACAAAAAGTATATTTCAAAACTGCTCTATGAAAAAATGGTGCAATTCTATGAGTTGAATGCACACATCACAAAGAAATTTCTGAGAATGCTTCTGTCTAGTTTTTATCTGCAGATATCCCCGTTTCCACTGAAGGTCTCAAAGAGCTCCAAATATCCACTTGCAGATTCTACAAAAAGAGTGTTTCAAAACTGCTCTATCAAAAGAAAAGTTCAACTCTGTGAGTTGAATTCACACATCACAAGGAAGTTTCTGAGAATGCTTCTGTCTAGTTTTTAAATGAAGATATTCCCATTTCCGACAAAGGCCTCAAAGCGTTCCAAATATCCAATTGCTGATTCTACAAAAAGAGTGTTTCAAAACTCCTCTATGAAAAGGTATGTTCAACTCTGTGAGTTAAATGCAAACATCACAGAGAAGTTTCTGAGAATGCTTCTGTCTAGTTTTTGTGTGAAGATATTTCCTTTTCTAACATGGACCCCAAAGTGCTCCAAATACCCACTTGCAAACTCTACAAAAATATTGTTTCAAATCTGCTCTACCAAAAGGAAGGATCAGCTCTCTGAGATGAATGCACACATTACAAACAAGTTTCTGAGAATGTTTCTGTCTACTTTTTATGAGAAGATATTTTCTTTTCCACCAGAGGATTCAAAGCGCTCCAAATGTCCAGTTGCAGATTCTACAAAAAGAGTGTTTCAAAACTGCTCTATCAAAAGAAAGGTTCAGCTCTGTGTGTTGAATACACACATCACAAAGTAGTTTCTGAGAATGCTTCTGTCTAGTTTTTATATGAGATATTTCCTTGTCTACCATAGGCCTCAAAGCACTCCAAATATCCTCTCGCAGATCCTAGAAAAAGAGTGTTTCAAAACTGCTCTATCAAAAAGAAGTTTCAACTGTGTGAGTTGAATGCTCACATCTCAAAGAAGTTTCTGAGAATGCCTCTGTCTAGTTTTTATGTGAAGATATTTCCTTTTCCACCATAGGCCTCAAAACGCTCCAAATATCCACTTGCAGATTCTACAAAAAGATTGTTTCAAAACTGCTCTATCAAAAGGAAGGTTCAACTCAGCACACATCACAAAGTAGTTTCTGAGAATGCTTCTGCTTAATTTCTATGTGAAGTTGTTGACTTTTCCACAGAAGGCCTCAAAGAGCTCCAAATATTCACTTGCAGATTCAACAAAAGGATTGTTTCAAAACTGCTCTATCAAAAATAAGGTTCGCCTCTATGAGTTGAATGCACACATTACAAAGAAGTTTCTCAGAATGCATCTGTCTAGTTTTTATGTGAAGATATTCCCGTTTCCAACAAAGGCCTCAAATTGCTCCAAATATCCACTTGCAGATTCTACAAGAAGATTGTTTCAAAACTGCTATATCAAAAGAAAGTTTCAACTCCGTGTGTTGAATGCACACATCACAAAGTAGTTTCTGAGAATGCTTCTGACCACTTTGTATGTGAAAATATTTCCTTTTCCCCCATAGCCCTCAAAGCTCTCAAAATGTCCAGTTGCAGATTCTACAAAAAGATTGTTTCAAATCTGCTCTATCAAAAGAAGGGTTCAACTTGGTGAGTGGAATTCACACATCACAAAGTAGTTTCTGAGAATGCTTCTGTCTAGTTTTTATGTGAAGATAGTTGCTTTTCCACCACAGGCCTCAAAGCACTCCAAATGTCCACCTGCAGATTCTACAAAAAGAGTGTTTGAAAACATCTCTATCAAAAGAGATGTATAACTCTGATGCACACATCACAGAGAAGTTTCTGAGAATCCTTCTGTCCAGTTTTTATGTGAAGATATGTCCTTTTTCACCATAGCCCTCAAAGCGCTCCAAATGTCCACTAGCAGCTTCTATCAAAAAAGTGTTTAAATCTGCTCTATCAAAAGAAAAGTACAACTCTGTGAGTTGAATGCACAGATCACAAATAAGTTTCTGAGAGTTCTTCCATCTAGTTTTTATGTGAAGGTATTCCCGTTTCCACCAAAGCCCTCAAACAGCTCCAAATATCCCCTTGCAGATTCCACAAAAAGAGTATTTCAGAACTGCTCTGTCAATAGGAAGGTTCTTCTCTGTGACTTGAATGCACACAGCACAAAGTAGTTTCTGAGAATGCATCTGTCTAGTTTTTATGTGAAGATATTCCCGTTTCCAATGAAGGCCTCAAAGTGCTCCAAATATCCACATACAGATCCTACAAAAAGAGTGTTTCAAAACTGCTCTATCAAAAGAAAGGTTCAACCCTGTGAGTTTAATGCACACATAACAATGTAGTTTCTAAGAATGCTTCTGTCTATTTTTTTATATGAAGATGTTTCCTTTTCTACCACAGGCTTCAAAGAGTTCCAAATATCCACTTGCAGATACTACAAAAAGAATGTTTCAAAACTGCTCTATCAAAAGAAAGGTTCAACTATGTGAGTTGAATGCACACATCTAAAGAAGTTTCTGAAAATGCTTCTGTCTAGTTTTTTTGTGAACATATTCCTGTTTCAACTAAAGGCCTCAAAGCACTCTACATATCCACTTGCAGATTCTCCAAAAAGAGTGTTTCAAAACTGCTACATCAAAAAGAAGGTTCAACTCTGTGAGTTGAATGCACACATCACAAAGAAGTTTCTGAGAATGCCTCTGTCTAGTTTTCATGTGAAGTTATTCCTGTTTCAACCGAAGGCCTCAGAGCGCTCCAAATACCCACTTGCAGATTCTACAAAAACAGGGTTCAAATTGCTCAATCAAAAGGAAGGTTCAACTCTCTTAGTTGAATGCACCCATCACAAAGAAATTTCTGAGAATGCTTTTGTCTAGTTTTTATGTGAAGATATGCCCGTTTCCAATGAAGACCTCAAAGTGCTCCAAATCATCCACTTGCAGATCCTTCAAAATGAGGGTTTCAAAATTGCTCTATCAAAAGGAAGGTTCAACTCTGTGAGTTGAACACACATATCACAAAGAAGTTTCTCAGAATGCTTCTGACTACTTTTTATGTGAAGACACTTCCTTTTCCACCATAGACCTCAAAGAGCTCAAAATATCCACTTGTAGATTCTACAAAAAGACTGTTTCAAAACTGCTCTATGAAAAGGAATGTTCAATGCTGTGAGTTGAATGCACACATCACAAAGAAGTTTCTGAGAATGCCTCTTTGCATTTTTTATGTGAAGATATTCCCGTTTCCAACGAAGGCCTCAAAGTGTTCCAAATATACTCTTGAGGATTCTACAAAAAGAATGTTTCAAAACTGCTCTATGAAAAAGTATTTTTAACTCTGTGATTTGAATGAAAACATCATAAAGAAGTTTCTGGGAATGTTTCTGTCTCGTTTTTATGTGAAGATATTTCCTTTTCCACCATAGGCCTCGAAGCACTCCAAATGTCCACTTGATAATTCTACAAAAAGAATGTTTCAAAACTGCTCTATCAAAAGAAAGGTTCAACCCTGTGAGTTTAATGCATACATAACAATGTGGTTTCTAATAATGCTTCTGTCTATTTTTTATGTGAAGATATTTCCTTTTCTACCATAGGCCTCAAAGAGTTCCAAATATCCACTTGCAGATACTACAAAAAGAATGTTTCAAAACTGCTCTATCAAAAGGAAAGTTCAACTCTGTGAGTTGAATGCACACGTCACAAAGAAGTTTCTGAGAATGCTTCTGTCTAGTTTTTATGTGAAGATATTCCCATTTCCAACGAAACCCTCAAAGCAGTCCAAATATCCACTTGAAGATTCTATAAAAAGAGTGTTTCAAAACTGCTCTATGAAAAGGTATGGTCAACTCTGTGAGGTGAATGCAAACATCACAAAGAAGTTTCTGAGAATGCTTCTGTCTAGTTTTTATGTGAAGATATTTCCTTTTCCACCATAGGCCTCAAAGCTCTCCAAAAGTCCACTTGGAGATTCTACAAAAAGAGTATTTCAAAAGTACTATATCAAAAGAAATGTTCAACTCTGTGAGTTGAATGCACACATCCCAAAGTAGTTTCTGAGAATGCTTTTGTCTAGTTTTTATGTGAAGTTATTCCCACTTCCATTGAAGGCCTCAAAGCGTTCCAAATATCCACTTGCAGATACTACAAAAGGAGTGTTTCAAAACTGTTCTAACAACAGAAAGGTACAACTGTGTGAGTGCAATGCACACATCAGAAGGTAGTTTCTCAGAATGCTTCTGTCTAGTTTTTATATGAAGATATTTATTTTTCTAGCATAGGCTTCAATGGGCTCCAAATATCCACTTGCAGATTCTACAGAAAGAATGTTTCAAAACTGCTCTATAAAAACAAAGGTTCAACTCTGGGATTTGAATGCACACATCACAATGTAGTTCCTGAGAATGCTTCTGTCTAGTTTTTATATGAAGATATTTCCTTTTCTGCCATAGGCCTTGGAGTGCTCCAAATATCCACTTGCAGAATCTAGAAAAAGAGGGTTTCAAACTGCTCTATCAAAGGGAAGGTTCAACTCTATTATTTGAATGCACACATCACGAAGAAGTTTCTGAGAATGCTTCTGTCTAGTTTTGATGTGAAGATATTTCCTTTTCCACCATAGGCCTCAAAGCAAAACATATATCCACAGGCAGATTCTGCAAAAAGTGTTTCAAAACTGCTCTATCAAAAGGAATGGTCAACTCTATGAGTTAAATGCACAAATCACAATGGAGTTTCTGAGAATGCTTCTGTCTAGTTTTTATGTGAAGATATTCCCATTTCCAATGAAAGCCTCAAAGTTGTCCAAATAACCACTTGCAGATTCTACAAAAAGTGTCTCAAAACTGCTCTATGAAAAGTTATGTTCAACTCTGTGAGTTGAATGCAAAAATCACAAAGAAGTTTCTAAGAATGCTCGTGTCTAGTTTTTATGTGAAGATATTTTCTTTTCCACCACAGGCCTCAAACAGCTCCAAATGTCCACTTGCAGAATCTACAAAAAGACTGTTTCAAAACTGCTCTATCAAAACAA